>NC_000014.9:32945046-33248076 GCF_000001405.40 Homo sapiens | reverse complement strand
TTCACACATTGTAGCTCATGCATCTTGCCCTGCATGGATTGAACTTAGCCTTCATCACAATTTTGCCATGACAGAAGTTGTCTAGTTAGCTAAACTATACCGTGAAAATAGAATTCACTTTTTAAACACTCTGGATTCTGCAAACACTGCCCTCCTGGGTTTGGGGTGCTTGTCTTTCCAGGTCTATAATGAATCTGAGAGCAAAGACTAGGGTGAATGTATATTCTCTATAGTTTTCATCTTGTAACCCACACTTCACTACTAAGGATGATTTCTAAAAAATAAAAAAGTGCTATTAGCAAATAGGTTTTAATTTAAAGTAATTCTATCTTTTCGACATGAGGACTTCTTAAAACAAATTATGGAAGGTTATGTTTGAAGTTAAACTGCTTAATTTCCAATCTGAATATGACTTTTTATGTGGAAATTGTGACAAATACACAATAAAGTGTGGTCATTTGACCAACTTGTAGTGAATTTTACCAAAAAGTAGCAAGAATTTACAAGAAAAGCCTACACGAATGCACAATGCCCCGCTGTCCTTGCACATGCACCGCCAGGATCATAAAGGGCTTCCACTGTGGCAGTTTTTAAGGCAACCAGTCTCTATTTCAAAATCAGCCCAAAGCCTTCTCCTCATATTCAAGTAAAGGAAAAAGGCAATTCTGAATATTTCTAAAAAATTTCATCAGAAAAAAAGTAATGTAAAACAAAAGGCAATACCGTCTATTCATAATCAGCTATTTGAGGTACTGAAAGGCTTAGCTGGTTTCCCCAAAGAGTCAAAATCAGAAAATCTTTTATCTGAAATGGTATTTACAATGCTAAAAAAATTAAAATTAAATGCAAAAGATAATATCACATTAACACAGGTAATAATGGGGAGAGTACTTTAGAATGTATATTCTAAGATAGAATGTACATTAAAGTACTCTCTTTTAAAGTACATTCTACTTTAGAATGTAAGGAAGTTTGCACAAATACAGTGCTAGGAAGTTCTGTCTTTGCCTACTATCTCTTTTTCTTTCTTTCTTTCTCTTTTTTGTTTGTTTGTTTGTTTGTTGAAACAGGGTATTGCTCTGTCACCCAGGTGGGAGCGCAATAACATGGTCTTGGCTTACTGCAACATCTGCCTCCCAGGTTCAAGCAATTCTCCTGCCTCAGCCTCCCAAGTAGCTGGGATTACAGGCACCCACCACCATGCCCAGCTTTTTTTTTTTTTTTTTTTTTTTTTTTTGTATTTTTAATAGAGATGAGGTTTCACCATGTTGGCCAGCCTGGTCTCGAACTCCTGATCCTCAGGTGATCCACCCGCCTTGGGCTCCCAGAGTGCTGGGATTACAGACCTGAGCCACCATGCCCGGCCTGCCTACTATTTCATTAGGAAAGCTTAGATTAGGAACAACACATTCTCTTCCAAAGACTAGAACTTTGTCAGACCAACTTCAAAGTAGATACTCTTCTAATTAGAATCAAAGCTCTGAAGATAGGAAAGGAACAAGTGAGCACTTAGTTCTTCTTTTTTTTTTTTTTTTTTTTGAGATGAAGTCTCGCTGTTGCCCAGGCTGGAGTGCAGTGGCGCGATCTCGGCTCACTGCAGGCTCCGTCCCCCGGGGTTCACGCCATTCTCCTGCCTCAGCCTCCCAAGTAGCTGGGACTACACGTGCCCGCCACCATGCCCGGCTAATTTTTTATATTTTTAGTAGAGACGGGGTTTCACCGTGTTAGCCAGGATGGTCTGGATCTCCTGACCTCGTGATCCGCCCGCCTCGGCCTCCCAAAGTGCTGGGATTAGAGGCGTGAGCCACCGCACCTGGCCGAGCACTTAGTTCTTAACAGGACTGGGCACTGGGCTGCTGCTCCCACTCAGCTTATCTCATGCTGTCTGCACCATGACCTTATGAGGTGGGCGCTAACAGTCTCAGTGACACAGAGACGGAAATTGAGGCTCGAGGCATATCATAAACTTACCCGAGGTTACACAGCTGGTTACTGGCAAAGCCAAGCTCTGACCTCAAGTCAGGTGACTTCCATATCCATGTCCTCACTGCCAACTATAAAGTTGTTGAAGGGAGAAAAAGCAGCAACTAAAAAGCAAGACTTTGTTTTTAAGGATCATGGAAGTTGGTGAGCCAGCTAAAAAAAAAAAAAACACCTATTGCTAACAAAAAATTAAAATATGATTTGGTATTGATATTGTACATTGTAACACTTAAAGTTGTGACTCGTCTAACTATTTTTTTTAATTCACCATAGTATGAGATAGTTTTGGACTTTCTCACTAATACAGTGTCAGGAAATGTTTGACAGACAACCCAAACATGTATTAGAGTAAACTGTAATAGGTCCTCAACACAGTGTGTTTAACTCTGTGAAATGTTAAATCTGGTTTGGAACTTCTTCTTACTATTGTACTTGAGAATATTTCTTGTGAATAACAGGGTGGATAGAGCATATCCATTTCATATTCCTATCTGGTAATTTACTCCTGGTATAAATATGTATTATCAATCATTTAAAAATAACCTACTTTTTAATAGGCTACTTTAAAGGAATCTAATATCTTGTCAACAGATACCCCCTATTTCAGAACCAGGAAGCACCTATCTGATTGAGGGGAGAAGAGAGAAGTTAGGACAGAACCCTACGTCATATAAGTTAAGGGCTTTGGATCTGGAGATAGATTATCTGGGTTTGAATTGTGGTTCTTCTAACTGGTTAATTCTGTATTGTGAGGATTAGATGAGATAATCCATGAAGTGCACTTAATAGAACCTGGCACACAGAAATACTCAGTAGTAGTAGTTATTATTATTCTCCAATGAGGTTGATCATCACAACTGTCTAACAGATATTCAATGAATGTTTTGAATCAGGTGGTATAACTAGGGCATCTATATATGATTTTAATATGACTAAAAATATATTTTAATCATATTTTAAAAATGTATCATCTATAGCCCCACTCATACCACCTGCTTTTATGAAAAGGAGTCTATATCCTTCCCATAAAAGCCTTCAGCTACATCAGGAGAACTGCCAGGGTGAGGAACCAAGGCCTAGAGCTATGGTTTTCAAATAGCCTTCTGTGTATTTGTTTGTATGTGTATTTGTTGTCAAGATAAAATATTATCAGACTAAACAAGAAAAGAAGTTTAAAACTACTGGCCTAGAGGAAAACCACTTGTCCCAAAATCAAGTGCAAAGACAAGGTCAGAAGAAAACAATGCAAGGAAGGCACGACCACTCAAGTTGACACCTATGGGGTGGCCTTTACTCATGCCTTGCTGAGTTGGGGTTTTAGCTTTTGGCATTCCAGGTTGGGCAAGCATAAATAATTAAAGGCTCTGGTAAAGTGGTATAGAAGAAAGAGTAGAGAACCGGTCAAAAGAGTATTATAATACTGACTGTACCACTTAGAGGCCATTTAGCCTCATGTTTAGCCTGTCTTGGCCTGTTTCATCTGTAAAATGAAAATAATATATTTTAGAGTTTGTAGGAGACAAAATTAAAAGAAAGCAAGCTACCAAAAAAATTTGCAGATAAATATGTTTTTTTTTTTTAACTTACATTACATCCATAAGATATAAGGTCCAAGATAGCAGAAGCCACAAGTGTTTATGTACCACTATCATCTCAAAATCTTTATTCCTAGAAGCATCATATAGTTCCAAATGCCCAACTGCTTTCAGAGCTAGATCAACTCAAAAGACTGATAAAGTAAATAAATGCAATTCAATTAAGTAACTACTTAAAAACAGAAAATAATTTTTTAATTTCTAAAACATTTATTGGGTATTCTCTATAAGCTTGGAAGAAGTAGAAGATATAAGTCTCCATGTAACTGGGAAGTAAAATGCAAATTATAACAATGGGAACCAACCAAAAATGGTGAAAATCCTAATATTGTGCTTTGGTGCATAGTTTTTTTTTTTTTTAACAAATGTAGATATCAATAAAATTGAAAGTTAGATTTTCCAAATAGTAGGCCTAGTGCAAAAGACACCCAACATGTATAGGAAATCAAACAAAGCTATGTGCACAGAACTGAAATGAGTTGGGCTGGGAAGCCTTCTAGAAAAAGAAGCTTTCACATTATTTTATTCCTTTCTAAACATCAATTGGTCAGTCAAAGTTTTAAAAGCAATAGTAATTTTTCCCTTTAGAGAACATTAATGATGTTTCAGACTAATACTGACACTAAATAAAAATACAAATTGTCACCAAAATATCTGTTTTTCCTCCTTCCATTTCTCCTGGGAAGCTCTTACTCATCCTTCAGCCTTCAGCTTGTACTTTTTTTTTTTTAATTGGTAGAGCTGGCTTATGTGTTTTGCCATGAACTGCCATGGTGCTCTAGGCCAATGCCAAAGGTAGCATCTTTGTTCTTCTTAAATGTCTATGTTCTGTGCTAGCTTTCCCTGGAACAGACCTTCAGCATCCAGGCAGCAGACACAGACAAGTTCTTAGCCCACAGGAGGAGATTAATAATTGGCTGTTGATAATATGAGTGAATGGTTCTCAGAGTGTTTCCCCCCAGCAGCAGCAGTATCACCTGGGAACTAGATAAAATGCAAATTATTGGACCCCACCATAGACTTACTGAATCAGAAATGCTGGAAGAGGGGTCTAGCAATGTTTTATCAAGACCTCCAGATGATTCTGATGCATGCTGAAGTGTGAGAACCACTGGAGTAGGTATTCAAAAAAAAAAGTCTTGATATACATTACTTAGGATTAACAAGACAGAATGGCATTCTCAGATATAGTGATTATATGTAAAGAGATAGATATCCCAGTTTGCATTATTCTCTCCAGAAACTTTCTCTGATGAGGCTTTTCTGCTTCCATTATAAAGTTATTCATTTATTTTTATCCTTTCAGGTCACAATGGTACATAAAATATTATGTTAGTAATAATTTTTGCTAGATATATATTTAAAATAAAAACCAAACAACAGAAAACAATTAAAACTTAACCTTTCTCTGTAACTTGCACGCATATGGAGGTTACTGGATAAACATTAAGGAAAAAATGATTTTTAAAAAACAGTCCCCTTAATTTGTTCCTAGGCCAGAATTTTAATAAAAATGTACTTTAGGTTTAAAAGCCTTCAAATATAGACTGTAGAGAGGGCAGACTTTAAGGGCCACTCGTTTTTAACATTTTTTACTCAAAGAAAATATTTTATGCATTTCCACATCATCTAATGCTATAGCACTTCATGAAGAGCAATACAATGAATTTGTAGCATATTGTCTTAGATTTATCTTGGAGCAATGTAAGCACAAACCATATTATCTCTGAAGAAGCTATTGCATTTGGGTCTAATCAAGAAAAGAGAGTGACTATTCATGAAAAATCTTCCCTGAACTGAAAAGCTATCAAGAGATTAGAAAATAATAATACCCAAATCTCTAAGAAAAAGCCACATATGATCTTCATAGTTTGAATAATGTTGACGCATCTGAACCTCTCTTCTCGCTTACCTTCTCTAATCTTTAGCTTACTCTGACTAAGACATTTGAAAAGGCTATGAATGAAAAATGATTCACTAAGCTCATTTCTGTTTTTATAAGCAACCTCTGCAGACTCAGACACCACCATATATTTTCCAGCTAAGTTGTGGAAAGACTGTCATTAGAAATTTTATTACAAATGGGCACTTACTTATGTACCACTTTCAGGGAAGGGAAAAAACGGGACAGGTGGTCATACAAAAATCTGAAATTCCCATGGCTTCCTGACTTTTATAGCAGAAGGGTACTTGACACGTCTACTGTCAAATGTAGAAAATCTAATTCATCTTGAATTTGAGAAGGGAACTATAAACCAAAATACATCTTGCATTATTTGTTTTTTATTCTCAATACTATTCTTTCTCTATTCTTTATTCTGCTCAGTGAGTTTGCGACTTATTTTTCTTCACCAAAAGGTTGAGCACTGAAGAATCATAAGATAGCCAAAATAAAAATCATAACCTTCTCTGAATTATTAGTATATCAGTTGGAAAACAAAATTTTTATAAGGGAGACTTCTAAGTGGCCTGTTATCAGAATTGCTACTTACAAGGGTTTACAAATGAAGAAGTAAGTTTATCACTTATTATTTAAAACATGAAACTATTTTCATGTTACATCAATATGCATGTCTAGAAGCTTGTTTAAGGAAACTATTCACCATGCAAAGTTTTAAATGCACAGTATCAAAGAATAATTTTTGACATTTTGATTCATACATGCTTATAAAGCTCCAAGACAACATGGTTTAATTATAAAACATATTTCTACTGCCTTAGTCATGCCAATTAAATTTGATTGGATACTTTCTTTATTCAACAAGCTCCTTTCATGTCATTTTAATTTACTGTCAAAGCAGCCTGAATATTGGAAACTAAATTATTTACTACAGCCCATAAGCCAATAATGTTCCATTTGTCTCGTACAGAGGGAGACTAGACTAACAAGATTATTAAGGACATTACTTGTAATAGCAAAATGTCCTTCACTTTATTTGAGCTTCATGCTGTGCTTTCAGAGATCATACTTCAAAAGGGCTCCATTTCATTCCGTCACAGAACCTCTGATATAAATTATTCTCCACTCCCTTTGTAATATTCTGATCATAGAGAAAGTGGACCCAATATTGTTGGGCTGAAATGGAGGCATGCTCTCTTCTAAGACAGCTACATAGTTTGTGTTAAACACCTTTGATGCGCTCCCTTGTGCCAATACTGCAAAACAAGAAAAAATCAGTTGAATTTATCTTATAGTGATAATATCTCACACATTACATTTACAAAAGCTTTTTGTTTTCACTGTCTAGAATGCAAAAAATGCTTCTAAGATTCTAGGACACCTAAGTAAATCAATAGCCTTAGTTTTCAGAAAATCAGAGTTCACCAGGCATAGTATATCTAGACAGACACTTCATGCAGAGCTTCACTATTGTGAAATACTAGAAAATGAATTAAAATGTCTCAACCAGAAGCACTCTTAAAAGAAGAGAAAATAAATAGAGCTATGGTAAACTCTAATATGCCAGTGGTCCAAGGGAATTCTGCTGAGGTTAGCCTCATGCTAAGACTTATTTAACATCTTCATTAGTGGTCTGGAGAGGGAGGAAACACATCAATTATATTCACAAATGGCAATTAATTGGGAAGTGTTGTAATTATTAGTATAAAAATGAAAAAGAACACAAAGAAGGCTGCAGAGGCCAAACCTACAGAAAAAACTTTTAAAATGGCAGCTGATCAGTAAATTAAAAGGCTGTAACAGAGTAGAAATATTAAGTCCCTAAGAGGTGCTTAAAAACTACATTTTAAAGATTACAAAATGATGTCAGACTAGGAACCAGCTGTAAAACAGTTCAAAATAATGGCAATAATGAAAGGGAGCGATGTGGTCTCTCAAGAGAGGAAAAAGCAGAGCATGGGAAACAACAAATGTTCCTTTGGCTTCTCCAACAGTGAATCAGAGTTTATTAAAGAAGAGTACTAACCAGAAGAAAAATACAAAATAATATATGTTACAGTAAATGTTTATTTTAGCTTGATGATGAATTAAACGTTCACAGACAAGGCTATCAACACAAAAAGAAGGCTTTATTTCATGTAATGAAATTAGACAAAGAGTCCAATTATTATTTAATACAGCTTAGAGAGGTACATGAAATATAAAATTGAAATATATTAAAAAGAAAAAGAAAAATAAGAGTAGGGACCCAAAATGGAGCCAGGAATTAGCTTAATATAAACATTTATTTTGGTTTTAAACCAGATATGTTGAGTAGTAAACTATGGCATTCTGTAAGTGAATGATCAGAGTACACTGCAAAGGGCTCCAGCTTTGTAAGTGAACTAACAGAATCCTATGAATAATATATTTTAGAAATCTTATATATTGCAAAAGATTATCAAATCATCCTCTCTCTTACATGCATCCTTCCATGCAAGGTAAAACAATTCCACCAACATAATAGAAAGAATTACATTGTGCAACTGATGTAAAGCACATTTTCTCTAGTAAAGTGGAATAGGCTATTTAGTAGTGCTTTGACCATTAAGCAATCAACCATCTTTTGATAAAGGAAAATATAGTAGGCCCTTAGCCACATTTGAGGGGTTCTACTCCTATGGTTAAAAGCAGTGCATTCTCTCATAAGTTTTTCTTCGGTTACTGCACTGTTTAACTCAATTATGAAAAAAAAACTATTTCTAATTTTGTTGAAGTAAATGTATGTGAAGGGAGCAAATTGCACTTTCTAGGCAATAGGTCTCCATTTTGATGCTGGAGAGCACAAGGTGACACTTCTGTACATGGCTCAGATTTATGCAATAATGGGCAAATATTTCAAGGCAAATGCAGCTATAATGTTTATGTTAAAAACGATAGGTTATGACAGCAGTCAGATGTTCTATATCCCTCAAGTGTTGAAAATAAATTGTTTCTTTTTGCACACAAGAGATGGAGATTACCAAGGTGAAACATGACAGAAAATTTGTAGAAAATGATCTTGTCTGTGAGCAAGGCTTTCTTCCTGGTACTGATGGATAAAAACAGTACCCCACAGGCCACTGTGAGTTGCCTTAATGAGTCAAATGACAATGAATTTTGAATAAAGATCCTTGAAAAAACTGTTTTGTTATCTGTCTTCTACTAAAATTTGATTCACAGATTAAATAACAAAATTTTGAATTCAAACATCACTTAGTGCCAAGTTTGTTTCCTTTCAAGATGTTTGTAAGCCTGGCACATATTAAATCCTCAGTAATTATCTGTTGGATGAAGTGGTTTTCTATAAGTACACACCTCTCTTCCACTTGCTCATCCCTTTTTCCCCTGAAACTCCCCTTTATCACTTAACTAAAAGAAAACCAATGTTTCTCAGCACTAATACACTGAGAAGTCCTCTTACCTCCTCTCCCCTCAGACCCCCAGGAGAACAAATTGGAAGCTAATAAATGTGAGGCCAAATATGTGCCATTGAAAAAATGACATAAACATGCTGGTTTCATTTTAGCTCACTCGAAGCCTGTTGAAGTCTTGATCACATACTTATTTTTTATGACTGACATAACCTCAAATGTGAAGGACAACTGATAAGCAGCAGTGATTTGTTTTAACTCTTAGTACCTTGTATACTTGCAGAAGTGGAGAATTTGCCTCAACTTGTACACATATTAGTTTCAGCTGACTAAATTACCAGACATTCCACACGGCGCAAGACTTTCCATATTCATTTTATATGGCATTCTGTGATTTATTCCTCCATTATTAGACCATTTGCCTTGGTAAAAGAACTAATTACTAAATTCACTACCACAAATGGGAAGAACTAACTCATTGTACTGCCCCACTAGGTAAAAGTTACAAGAAGAATTTCCTTACAGCCTTGATTCAATTAAACTTGGTTTTCATTTCAATAATAGACATCTACAGACAGTATCGTCTTTTGCCATTTTAATTTCTTAAGACTTCTAAAACAACATGCAGCAGAAAATTAAATAAAACATTATACTAGGTCATTCAAACTACTCAAATTTGTAAATAGGTATTTTTCCTCTGTATCAACAATGATTCATCTTCCTGATCCATGATCTACTTAATCTGAAACTTAAACATAACCAGCAATAGTTTATTCAGAAGAGTTTACAACATTTGTCTGTGGGACTACAGAGAGAATGGAAATAGAAACCAACTAATTGTAAAGAACAAGGATATGCTTTCAATAAAAATGACCGCATTTTAAAACTTGTTAAATCATTTTCCATTTACATGCATATTAACAGAATTCATTATCCTAGTACTTCCTATTTGAAGATTATCAATATCAGCTCTAACATTTATAATCCTATAACTGTCTGGGGTCTGCAGGTAATATGTTTACGATCTTAGTGACTTCTTTGGAGTTAATGTCATGTATTTCTTAGCTCCAAACTGAGCATGAACAAAGGTATGCCTCATAGACTTTGAATTTATCAATCATTTGCCTTCCCAAAACACGTTAGTTCATTTTTTCTGAGCCAATCAATGTTTTAATTTTTTAAATAATTCTTTTTGAAAAATGTGCTACGAATTCCTAAGATTGGGTTCTTTATGCAAAAGCGGAAATGTATACATTTTGCTTGTGAAAATGTACATGAGAAAAACTAAATATATATAAATATATTGTAAATATATTCATTTTAATGTTATAATTATAGCATATGCAAAAATGCATAGTTTATATACTGCATTCAAATATTTTAATATACTTATCTTCTTTATGTAAATACCTGTGCATTAAGTTCTATAAATAAAATTGTAATATAGAGTGAATAACATTTCAACATAGAAAAATATATGTATATGCAAATCTATAGATATATACGTATGCATGTATTTTCCTGATTGAACTTTATATACTACCCTCCATTTTGACTGAAACAGTGAAATAACTAGCATGTTGCCTCTCTGAAGCCGAAAGCAATTTCCTTTTCTAATTTTAGTTATGCAAAGCCTATGGGCATCATCAGCATTTAGTAATTAGTTTTATAATTACTGCTGTTTTGCTCACTGTCATTCAATTTTTCTTACAACATGGTCTGGGATTGAAACATCCCACATCCACAGCTGTGTAAATTGCTATCCATTTATAAGGCAAAAAAAGTAACATTCCACATACATCATTATTCAGTCAAGAATGTGTTGCTGGTACTTAGGTGATGCCTTGAGTGCATAAGCTGCCCACTGAAGTGCCAAGAAAAATGGCATTCCAAATTCCAGGAAATGCTGTTTAACAAAGTAGGAGAAAACATGAGAGCTACAGTAAAATTACATCAATGAGCATGATGAAATATCAGAAATCTAAAGAATGTGGCGTCAAGACAAGTCTTTAAAGTGTTAAGTAACCACACTCCATTTCTATAGTAAAGATTCAATGAACACATACCTATGTATCCACGGTTGCTCTGTTGTGTTAAAAACATGACGTTTCTTCAAAAAGGCAACCATAGCCTATGAAAGACTTAATCATAATATATTAAGTTTTTCCTAAAAGCCACTGAAAACATAAACAAAAATCTCATTTTTTAGATAATTCAGTTTGATTTTTGTAATGTAAAATCAAAACTGTAACTGTAAAATTGTAACTGTAAAATCAAAACACTGATTTATCTTTCATAAAGACTGAAAATTTTAAAGCTAAGACAGGTTCAGTATAATGTCGCTGTGGTCAATGTGAACTTAAACAGCTTCTCCAACAAACTGAGAGCACTGTTTGAATATATCTTTGAATATATGAATTTTTCCACATTTTCTTAAGACCTGTGGAAAATCGAGACAAAATGATTTTACTTTGCCATGTCACAGACTAAAATGTCGAAGCCAGACCTGGGAATGTCCATCAGCCAAGGTCACAGGGAGTTGACTTCAAAGCCAGCCACAAGTCTCAGGGCATCTCTGCCTTGAGAAAATGCACTAACATCCTCCAGGCTAGGGTTGTTCTTTAGTTTAATAAGCAACTCACACTGCACCTGATATTCGATGCTCTCACAAATGCTTTCCAAATTTTTTATATCAGTAAGTCTTGTTTCTACAAATAAATTACAAACGTTTCATGAAGAGAAATGCATCTTCTATTTCTCCAAGCTCCATGCACACATGTCAGATGGATAATATATACTTTCAATTCTAAATTAAGAAATAAAATTACAGTGAGGTAAAAGAAAGGAGAGAAACTGCTAATAACTTTAAGACTTTCAAGTAGACAGCTGCTGTGCAAGTAACACACAGGAGCAGGCCAGAGCTTGAGGTGAAACAAAATGAGGGAACCTGATGGTCAGGAAGAGAGCTTCAGCTTCAATCCACCACTTCTGGACAAGCACAAGCATCTAAAAACAATCCTTTCCTCTTTGGTTTTTTTTCAGTGGTGACAGGAGATGAATCCAGAAAGGACAGAAGTCAAACCAGAACCAACTTTGCCATCTTTCTCACTTTGAACCCTGGGGCTGGGTGTACAGAACCTGCTGATTAAGATGAATCAAATAGATGCTAACTCTCTCTCAGAATTGTATCATGTTGTGACCAGCCTGGGCAACATTGTGAGACCCCGTGTCTACAAAAAATTAAAAAATAATTAGTCAGACTTGGGGATGCACACCTATAGTCCCTGCTACTCAGGAGGCTGAGGTAGGAGGATCGCTTGAGTCCAGGAGTTCAAGGTTGCCGTGAACTATGATGTGACAGAGCAACACCCTGTCTCAAAAAAAAAAAAAAAAAAAAAAAAGAATTGTATCAACAGAACTTTTAGTCTTTTGTACGCAAGATGTACTTGCACTCAAAAGATTCATTTGGTTCTGTGTCTCTGAGAGTGATAAGAAATACAGATTTCAGAGTTTTTATTTCCTCCTGAACAGAATGACAGTAGATTTGGACTAAATATTTCAGTTCAAATATTTCTGTTCAAAACTGTGATTGTATTTGGGTGTATATATGTGCACCTGTATATATTACCTATTTAGAGAGTCTCTAGTATCATTTTCCCCCAGCTTTTACTTTCTCCTTCAAATATATGCCATCAGAGAACACCAAAGAGGATTCGTCAAGGAAGGAATAAGAGAGTTGTTGATTTCACTCTTACCACAGTGACTATAACCTACATTATGCTTAACCTGCTAGTTACAGATTTTTAGCTGAAAAAAAAGGAAAGCCATAAATCGGACAAAAGCTAAAGAGATCAACCATTATTTCAGTGAACAAAAAGACCACAAATTCTCACTCCTCATTTATACTATCGCTTAATTAACGCGTGCAGGTAAAAAGAAGCCAAACAAAGGACAAAAAAAGAGTGAAAAGATTTCTCTTTAACACATTTACACAGAAATTAATAAAGCTTAAAGGCATCTATGGCAGGAGGAGTGTGGGGCGGTAGAGGAATTCGTTCATCAAATACAATTGTTTTAAACTTAAGAAATGTGGATAACACTAAATTTATTATTTCCAAAGCTATATTTTCCCCATTAATGCATAGTCCTTCATTTACACATTGGGTTGATGAAATGAATGACTTTCGGTATCTGGTTTTATCTAGTTTGTAACATACAATTTAAATGTTGTATATTTTTCAAATTTTACTTTGCCATTACAGACATAGCTACAATACCGTATCTATTCAAGTTGTCAGAAAGCGTCATGAGCAAAATCTCTTATTATAGCCAAATGCTTACAGATGATGAGTTGCAACACGAGCAATCAAAAACCAAATGTGGGAATCTAGGAACAGTGATACAAGCTTGAAGTCTACTGGAATTTACTGTTCATAGGTATAGTGTTCTAGACCCATAGTAAACTTGATAATTTTCTAAAAACCCAAAACAAAAAAATTATGCACACTTTTTTGGGGAAATGGGACAAAAGAGAGTCTACACAAAGGATGGCATTCGTGCAAAATGTGCTCTGGTCTAGCCACCACACAGCCACGGTTTTCTCGCTCACCAACTCTCTCTAATTTCATTTCTAGTTTCATATAACTGAACTGGCCAGACTTAACGAGCTGGAAGAGAAGTCTATTTAGTCAGTGGTTAGAATTTGGCTACACTAAACATTAAAAGTGCTAAGGAAAAATGGCATTTAATAAAATGCATCTAGAAGAGATACATCTCTAACCATAGAGGCAACCACAGTTTATCTTTCAAATCTTAGTACAATAATTTTAATGAACAACTGAATTCCTATTTGCATGCGTAAATCCCTTAGGTCTGCTTATTACTTTCCCATTTCTTGGGTGCAGGCTGATTTAGATAAGGATGCTAGAAAGATTCCAGAGAAAATGTTTATAACTTTTGATTTATTATACACACTTACCTGAAGAATATCTTGTTTATGGAAAGTCTAATAAAAGTAAAATTATTTTTTAAAGGGAATTGCCACCAGACAAAATTTTGGGGGAAAAACTGGAGAAAAAATGCTAGCAAGCCAAAAAATAGGTTTTTATAACTTTCAAGGACCCCTTTAACTTAAAAACATATTTTAGTGTTTTGCTGTCACTAAGACTTCTTTTCCACTCGTGCTTTATCTAATATACATTTGAATTGACAGCATAGTTGTATCTGGTTATAAATTATTTTACATATTAAGAATGCACATTTCAAAGAAAAAGTCTTCATTAGACAGTCTGAATAGGATTAATACAAAGGAGGCAGACCAACATAGTGTAATTGTTTTTCATTATATTTGATAGCATAGAGTTAATATGCTTAAATGCAAATAACTACAACTCTTTATCAGGATAGATGTCAAATGAATAAACTCCTCAAGTACGAATACTGAGTTCCCTTAAGGTAATTTAGGAACAAGGTCACCTGCAAGTCCTTTCTACAACTGCTAATTCCCATTAATCCTAACAGCACTAAATATTAAAGGGTTAAAATAAGCATAAATTAGCTTTATTGTCAATCATTACATACAGAAGAATAATTAACTCAGTATGTTTATTTATCTACTTTTGCTACTTGATTAAATGAATGATTGATGACAGGTTCCTTGTTTTCTTTTTATCCTTTTTGTCAGTATAAATGATCAGTATGTAACTAAACGGTGACATTAAAATGAATCATTAGCAACCTAAAATGCAGGATGACCTACATGTAAGAGCTTCTGTCTCCTTTGCTACTGAGAAATCTAGTCAGATTCATTTGCATCCAAAACAAACCTATAATATAGTTAAAAGTACTTCCAGTCAGGTGCTTTTCCCTCAATTTCCACTTAGTTTGCTATGTCTATAGCTATGCTAAAGGCCATTCATTTATTTTAAAGTCAGTAAATAAAGTTAATTTATAGCATTCGGGGTTCATTGTTTGTGAAATTTATGAACTATGTGACTGTTTAGCATTTGTGGTCTTTACTCAAACTAAGGGAAATATCAAGTCCTTGAGGTAGATTCATTCAAAATTAAAATATCAAATACTTGATCAGTCATCATTTAAGTAATTTGATTTGTCATCATTTGATAACATTTGAAAAGGTTATTAGTTCTAGTTCTCTGCAAATCAGATGACTAACATCAGCAGAGAGATCCATAGCATATAAGTGATTTGGATGTAAGGTTTGTTATACATATGGGGTATAAGTGGCCTACAATGCAATGGGCAGTTTTCTTCCGCCCCTAAATCCACCATCCAGCACTACTCGCCCTAGAAACTAAAGTGAAATTGTAATGTCTCTGAGAAACCTGTACTTAAATATCTGCTTTGCACTGGCTGCTTTTCTGTGCATTGCTTAATCATTATTTAAAATGTTACTACTGTTCGACAATTTTGCTCTGCAATTCTTTGAACAAGACCATGAAATGTAGTAACTTATAGGACTCATTTAAATAGGGAACAAATAGAGAAGGGGAAAAGAATAGTATTGTAGAAGTAGACGAAAGCTAAGGGAAGTGATTGTAGAACAAAATCTGAGAACTCCGATTTCACTGTTTTAACACCCATTAATCACAGGAAGGGTGAGGTTTGCCACAAACATAATTCAAAAGAGAGAGCAACGCAGAAGAAGGGAATGAATTCAGTAAAGAACTAAAGATATTGGGAGATTATAAACCTGACACTACTTAACACTGCGCAAGTCATCTCACTGTTCCACAGTAGAATGTCAAATTATGAAAAACAGATTGAGTGTATTCAGAAAGTATGATCTCATAATATGGTTTCAACATATAAACAACTAAGAGTGAGTGATGAAGTGTGCAAGTGTAGTTTAGTACTTGTTAAACAAAGGAAACAAGCTCTGTTGTGGGGATGAATCCGTCCAAAGCACCCACACTCTTAATCTGAGTCCACGCTGGCCCAGCAACTTGGTTATGTCTAGAGAGAAGTTTATGGACTGGATCTGAATGTTTTCTTCTTGTGGAGTTTACTCACAAGCTAACAAAAACAATACTACTGACATCAGCTGGATCCGCAATCTAAGCAACTGTCTTCTTGCTACTGTCACTCAATCTATTTTGGGGGGTTCTGGCTAGAATGTGCTGAAATGTAATCATTACCTAATGGTTGATAAGACTACATGGTATTATTATGAAATACATACCAATTCTCTCTATAGGACTATCTACATGAATTGTAATAGATAAGCATTTATAGAAAATGATTTTTGAGTTTTTCTTGCTTTTTGCACAGAGGCTAGTATGAATGGATTTGAGCTTCTTGAACCATTTGCCTACGTCAAGGGCCAAAGTGAATGCATTTCATTTGGAAAAACTGGTCAATATACAAAGCATCTAAGTTTACTTAAAGAGTCTTTGAACACCCCTTCTTTTCCCCCTTACTTAGATATCTTTTGCACATAAAGAACAGGAATAATTAAAAGAGAGTTCTACATACGAGAAAGAAAAATGATGCTCATCTCATGAGGTTTTATAAGAAATGAAATGTAATGATGTGTAGTATCTTTGCATGTTTTTCTACCCAATTAATATTAAAATTGCTATAAAGAGCAGCATGTGAATTCTATGATTTTTAGAAACGGTAATGTGTAAGTGTAAAGAATGATCATAGATCACCATACTAGAACATTAAAGAAGTGTAGGCTCTAAACCAAAAAGTCATACCTGGCTCAAGCAAATTCACAGGAATATAACATGAATAATTTTGTGTCTCCAATATTTTCCTGGAATATATAGCTATTAAATACAAATCAACAGCCCAAATTTATTGTTTATAGATTTTTCATTCCATTACTTTAAGAAAAATTAAACGTTAAAAATATGAACCTAAAATATATATTTGAGGGGAGTCATCAATTGCTTTAGCAAAATAACTGATTTTACAAAATACAAATTGCTATAGAAATCCTTTACATAAGAGAATTTCTCTGATATATAAAAACTGTGATTTTTATGAACTTATAAAATATTTTATAAACAATTGTCCAGGACTTGTCATTTCACAAAGTGTAGTAACCCTGCACTGGCAAGCTTGCACGAGCAAACAGAATTGTAATTTTCAGTGTAAATCCTTATTAAACTGAAGGAATATTTGAAGAACACTTGAGTAACAATGAAGTATGATCTAGCAGGTCACCTGAATGACTATCTTTAGAAGCGTATCTGCATTGGTAGAGTGAAATAATGCAATTTTAGCAACTTCCCACAATCACGGTTTGTGTTTTTCATTAGTATACATAAAAGGTAACAGTTTCAGGGGACAGAGAAAATGAACATAAGTGGTTTGCATTCTGACTGGAGCAAAAATACCCCTGGTTTAATACGACATTTACTCCATTTAATTGAGCATTTTTCACACCTATTCAGAATATGAAAAGAACGTATATTTTAAAAGAAAAATAAGAATAACAAAAGTCCCAACTCAGAATTAGAGAAAGCCTTTGATCAAGGCAGTGAACATTCTACAGTTCACTTTACTGTGTTCTCTTAAAATACTCTATGGTCTTCTCTGCTCCGTGTCACCCTTATAGAATAAGTCTGTATTAAATGTTATGTCATTTTGGAGTATATGATTTCATATTTTAATAATCTAGAGTAGATGTAATTCTCTTTTATGTAAATATTAGGTGTACTGTTGAATAAAAATAAAAGATGAGGATTCTATCAGATTTTATCCTCTGCTGTTAGTAGAAGTTTGAGTGTTCTTTCCAAGGGTCTTTAATTTATGGAAATCATCTTATTTTCTTAACTCCATCCGTGGGTTCAAAGCTAGCAGAGTCTGTTGCTGTAGATTTGGGATAGCCAGAGCACAGAGGACAGATCTGAAAACAGACCAGGTTTTGATACCAGAAAAACTGCATGGTGTCTATGATGTTAAACTACAGAGAATTAACACATAATAGTTTGGCGCTGGTTGTGTAAACGCTTCTGGCATTTCCTTCAGCACTTAAACTCATTTTCAGAGAATGGACTGCTGTAAAAGAATGCAGGCTCATTAAGAGTTTATTTCCTCAAAATGCTGAAGGATAACAAGTTTCTGCTGTGAGGGGATCAGCAAACTGCATTTATCTCTTTAGCTGGGGAGAAAGACCCCAAAGCTTTCTGTTTTTCAGCAGGCATCACAGGTCTGAAAATGAAGAATTTCATCTTGTCACACCCTGCCTTACCTCGTTTCAGGGCTGGCTGTGTTTTCGTTCCACAGAATGAAATTTTAGCAGGAGCAGAAGCCAAATGCTTAAAATGAATGATCAACTTACAATTCGTATGAATCTATTCTTTCATGCTGCTCTGCTTAAAAATAGCATCATAAATGCACATCTGCAAAGACTGTGCAACCCCCCTTTCCTGAATTGTACAAATTATTAGAGTCGTTGACAAAAGATTTTTTTGTTTAGGGGTTGGTCTGGGCACTCTCTTTGGCAGACTGCCACTTTTCTAGCAGTAGAAATATTGCTTGCAGAAAGCCACATTGTACAGAACAGCTGTTCTGCTAAAACATTGAGCTAGCAACCCAAGAAATGACTGACTTCACATGTGAAGCAAAATTGTTCCCTCCCTTTGTGCTAATTTAAATGAAATAAAAGTACAAAACATGCTCTTTCGCACCGTCTAGTCTTCCCTCGCAAATACAGGCTTTAAGTGAGATGCATGTGAGCGGGCGGGAAGGTGAGCACGTGACTCTGAGCCCTGCCTCAGTAGCAGGCTTGAACTGTGGCCACTCGACTTCCCGGCTCCCTGGATGATAGCTACTCTTTTGATCTTTCTATATTCAGGTCTTAGATGCCAAGGGATTTTCTACAAACTACATACATTAAGATTTCACAACTTAAAAATACACTTCATTCAAACTTCTCTCTTTCCATCTCTATGAAAAGCAAAGCTATCAGAGAGAAGATACTAAAAGAGTATGTTTGATTAAGCTCTTGTTTATAAGTATGGTATGTGATTCATGCCTTTAGTTGTTTGGTAAGTATATTCAGATAACAGAGATATGCATGAGTAGTCTGTGTTCTACATGGCATTGGGTATCCTGTTTAAAATACTTTTCTGAGAGGAAAAACCATCGTGAGTTTACCTTACATCTGGAGGGCCACAATTCTCATTAAATGTCATCACATTCAAATATTTAACTATATTTATGCATAATAAATTCCCCAACACCAACGGATATCTAAAATATAGACCTGGCAAATACTTCAAAGTAGAGGTTCAAAAAATAATTTACTTGGAAAATAATACGATATTTTATTTTGAAAGTACTGTATACATATTCATTATGATCACCTATTTAAAACTGTAATAAGGACTACCGTCTTTTTCTCCTTTCGCGTTAATCATCCTGGATCCCACAGTACTTTGTCTGCTTAAACCTCTTTCAACATGAATAATACCCTACTTTATTATTTGGTGAGAATGCGTCACTCCCTCCTAGTGGCTTATAAACTCCTAGAGGAGATGGTTCGCTTTTTTCCCCCACTTTGCATCCCCCAGAGAGCCTAGTACAGAGTCTTGCAATATAATAAATATTCAAATATTTAGAGGATGAATAGGTGAGTAAATTAAAGGAGAAAATAACCCATTTCGGATCCCTGATGACAACAAAAAATTGATATCTTAAAACCTACTATAAGATTATATCTATTAAGCCAAAATTCTGAGAAAGGAAATGTCAGCTCTATTCACTGTTTCAGCAAATTGGCCTTTCCTTTCAGATGCAGTATATTTTAAGAATTTTTTTGTTTTCCTATCAACTCAATGAAATATCTACATTAACAGTTTATAAAATCAACTTCTACATGTCTCGTTAAGTATTAAACATCAAGCTGCCAAAACACACCCAAATCACCCATCATCTAAGAAATGCTTCAAATATCCTCCACTTTATCAAATGATACAAGTTAAGACTTTTTACATGCTAGAATTCCCCCAAAAAACTGTGCATGTTGAGCTACCTCTTCCTTCTGATTAATATCATTTTAAAACCATAATCTTAAAAACAAAAGCCCTAATTAGAATGTGTACTAAAAATCACAAACGGGAATCCTAATATACCTTTGAAAGTTCCTATGTGAATATAAGCCTCCCAACACAATCTCAGCTCACTGCAGTAGACGGTATAGACAAGCTGGGTTCACAGGTCCAACTATGCCATTTTTTTCAGTCAAGAAAACTGAAGCAAAAAAATGTGTTCACAGTCCCAAAGATTTGAACTCAGGAGTGTTCAACTCCACTGACCAGAAAACCTTACTACCAATAAGCCATTCTGAAGATACATTAAAATGACCGGGATGATTAATTTTCACTGCATTCCTACATTTTGCTGGATTCTCTAGCCTGGGATACATGAACTGTACCTTTATTACAGGTTGTTAGAACTCCTTGTGTTATGAACTGAATGTTTGTGTCCCCTCCTAAAATCCAAATGTTGAAAGTCAAAATCCCCATTGTGATGGTACTTGGAGGTGGAATCATTGGGAGGTAATTGTCACAGAGGGCGGAACCCTCATGAATGAGATTAGAGACACAGGAGACATAATCTTTCTTTCTCTTTCCATCTTGTACGGATATGACAAGAAAATGGCTATGTGACCCAGGAGGATAGCCTTCACGAAGAACCTCACCATGCTGGTACCTTGATCTTGGATTTCCAGCCTCCAGACTGTGAGAAATTTTTTTTTCAAATGTTGTTTAAGCCAATCCATCTATAGTATTCTGTTATAGCAGTCCAAACTAAGACACCCTAGCAAGAGTCCCCTTTTCTAATCTCAGTAAAAGTATTATTTTAGTTTTCCAATTGGAGTTGTTCGTATAGCAACAAATTCAGTCACTGACTCACAACAAGGAGGTTGAGTCTGATTGCCTACCAGATGTGAATCACAACATAGCAGAGGCTGAACAACTTGTTACAGATTTTTCTGCAACTTCAGGAGCTCAGTATCCATAGAAGATATAATGAAAAGCACTTTAGGTCAGGTGTCAGCTAAGCAAATATCACTGCACCACTTTACAAACGTCCCTGAGAACATCCAAAATGAGGCTTACCTGCATCAACATCCCTGCTTCCTTTCATATGTCTCTAGGACATACTGCATTTTACATATTTTTTAATGTTATCTTCATGCCTCTTTTCAAAATGGAAAATAATAGCAATTTTGCTTTTATGCTAAAATTCTTGTAAAAACCTGGATAGTATTCATCTATTTTTATAGAAGAAAGCCAATATTTTAAAGTATTTATATAAAACCCAAACTGTGTACACAGTCTGTTTTTATCATCAGTGCTGATATTCAACAGTCTTATTTCCCAAACTGTAAAATTATACGTAAATAATATGCTTTAATTACAAAACATTACTGAAATTTAAGTATCTGTAGTGCTTTGGGAAGTTATTCCTATGAACTCACTGAATTTTAGTGTCTTTCAAGCACTTAGTACGGTAGCATTCACCCTTGGAGCACTCAGCCAATACCTGGTGACTGACTGCTCCCAATGGGCAACAGCAGAAGACCACAGGAGCTATTTCCTAGCAACTGTATTTGGTTTCTTGAGTGTAAGTTATGAAAATTATATTATGTTATATAATTTAGCCACATTTATTCATTTTATATAGACATTGGTTTTGGAGATATGTTAAATTTTACCCGCAAAAAACTAGGTTAGATTTACCAATTTTATTCATTGTATTGCTGATAATAATACCACTAAATACACAGATCTCAAACATCTTATTTCTAATGATTTTTAATGATGGTTACAGTCACAACATACTTTAAACCATCAGTTGGATCAGGAAGACAACTAATAAATTATGTGGAAAAATAAATCAAAACTATTAATTAACCTAAACTGATCAGTTGTTTGATTAGCCACGTCAAAATGACCAAACAATAGTCCTGTGTAGACAATGTTTTCATCATGCTTCTCTTCATTAAGATCATGCATTTAAAAAGACTATGTGAATAGCCTTAGTCTGGATCATTTGCTATATTAAAGTGAGAAAGCTGCCAAAAGTAATAAGCCAAATGATACCACTGACTTAATATGACTTTTCACTTAATTTTTTCGGTGACATACACAATGCATATACATCTATGGATAGCTATTGAAACATGCCAACATCACACTCCTGGCTGGTACATAATTTAGTCATGACAGCCATCATGACAAATAGACTTATGTACATACATTAGCACTGAAGATAATTTTTTTAAAAAACATATTTCTGGCCATTCATTGTTGTTGCAATATGTTTTAAACAAATACAAGAATCGACCTTTTACAACTCAAAGTATGCTTTCTACCATAATGGTTTCTAAAATAGGTACCTAAGTCCACCTCCAGTTCTAATGGTCCCAACAGGAGTTGGCTATCTATGGCATGCATGCAGGTCTAATCTAGCCTGCCACCTGTTTCTGTACCACCCACAAGCTAAGAATGCATTGTCCTTGTTGTTTTAATTTTTTAAATAGTTGAAAAAAACTCTTAAGAATAATATTTCATGACATGTCATAATTTGATTTCAATGTCCACAAATAAAGTTTTATTAAAACAGCCAAATGCATTCCATTACAGCTTGTCTATATAGCTACTTTTGCACTATAAAAGTAGGGCTGAGCAGTTGCAGCAGAGACCTTATGGCCAACAACAGCTAAATTATTTACTATCTGATCCTTTACAGAAAACGTTGGCTGACTCCTGTTATAGAACTCTATAACTAGGTTTTGTCTTGGCTTTCTAACCTTGCCTTTTAGGCACTCTTTGACCAAGACTGGAAGAATAGAAAATGTAATACTAGTCATAACCTTCACAAGAAAAAGAAGGAGACTAACCAGAGCACCTGTGCTCATGTATGACTCTTAAATGGAAATAATTTATAAATTTTAAAGAAAACTTATGTATGACTCTCTATGGCAATAGTTCAGTTATAAAGTCTTAAGCAAACTATGTAAACAGACTAACCAATTTCCTCCCTTCCATTTCCATTGATTGATATTGTAACTGTCAGTTAATCACGTTTCCTAATACAATCAGCCATGAAGCACTTTAGAATGTTGAGCATTTGGGGACTCAATATTGACCAGTTAGAAAGGCAGGAAAGTGGGAAATAACAAGTTTCCATTTGGACAGAGGCTTGTTTTTCTAATGTTTCTATCATCAGAGTGAATTCTAGTGATTTTTTTAAAATAAAACTTTTTATTTTGAAACACTTTTAGATTTATAGAGAATTTCGTGTACTGATGCAAAGACACTACAGAAAGGTCCCATCTATGCTTCAGCCAGTTTCCTAATGCCTTCTTAAAATTATTCTTTTCATAGAATTATTCTTTTCATAGAATCATGTTGTGATTTCATAGAATCATAACATGATAAAATGTTATCATTTGCTCTAAAATGGGCCAGGGTCTAACATGAGCTAGATTTGTGGATAAATGTTCACATATAATGTAAATGGGGAAAAGGGATTCCAATCGTAAGTAGCGGAACATAGAGAGAAAAGTCTCTTTATTATGGAAGAAAATGTTCTAAACTAGGATCACAGAGGCCCAAATTCTAGTTCCAACTCTGTAACTGACTTTGTTAAAAGACCAGGCAATCTGGTCTTTTAACAAAAAAAATATCTATTGGCCTTCCTTTAGAATGCTGAGGTTCTGACATTTACTAACATACTATGGACCCAGAAAGGATCTGAAAAGCTGCAGTCAATCAATATTCAAAGACACATTAGTTTTCACAGGTGGAGGTCACCTGTTTATTAAGGCAGAGCTAAGACTTATGCACAGTATCCAGAAAGCCATTTCTGAAAATTAAAGCCACAGTACAATTTCAATCATATAAAGCAGTCAGAGGTGAGTCCTTCTTTGCTATGCTTATGAAATATTATCATCTGCAGAGCACTGGAACTATATATTGTGCTTTGCAAGAGGTGATAAGGCTAACAAAAACACGTTAAAGAATTCCAGTCCTAAAGAACAGAGCACATAAACTTGAAAGTCCCAAATAAGTGAGTACAGTGCAGTATAATGCAAAACCACAAGATGTCATGACTAAAATATTACATTATCAAGAACTGGTAGACTTTTTAAAATAAGTTGGATGTGATATAGAATATAAGTGTGTTCCCTAAAGTTTTCTCAAGAGAGTAAATGCAAAGAAAAAGTATATGAAGTGCTAGGTTCTTATTTTATCTTTATCATATATTTTGTACTTGATTTCTTTAAAACTTCATTATGTGCTATCTTACTCTCCTGTCTTATTTATAATGATTACACATGCTCAAATATTGAAAATACAAACAAAAAAAAATTTTTTTTTTTGCCATACATTTTTGAACACATAGAAGGGAGATATGGTACCTCCATGTACAGGGGAATTAAGTAAAAGAAAAGGAAAATAGAAATATTAGCAAAATATTAAGAGTTAGGGTATGTGGCTTTTGAAATTATTAATAAACGGCTTCAAGAAACCATATAGTCCAAGGAAGACTATTAGTCTCAAATAGTCTAATTTAGGACAATAATCGCTAAATCCTTTCTGAGGAATTGGGACTTTGGATTAGACAGTAAGTAATCATTCAGACCAGAATCACTGACAAAAAGAAAACTGAGGTCTAGAGAGGGCTTTATGACACCAGTCACATGGTATGTTTAATTTTCTTGAAAGCTGTCATACCATTATGTATTGCACATTCATTTCTCTATGAATTATAAATATCTCCAAGGCAAAGGACTTAGAGGACTGACTTACTAAGAGAAGATACTCAGGTATTTGTTCAACGGACTCCAGTTCACACACCCAGAATACTCATGGTTTTCTTGAGACTACAGTTTTGTTTTGCTTTTGACATGGAGTCTCACTCTTGTTGTCCAGGCTGGAATGAAGAGGCGCAGTCTCGGCTCATTGCAACCCCTGCCTCCCACGTTCAAGCGATTCTCCTGCCTCAGCTTCCGGAGTAGCTGGGATTACAGGCACTTGCCACGACACCTGGCTAATTTTTGTATTTTTTAGTAGAGATGGAGTTTCACCATGTTGGCCAGGCTGGTCTCGAACTCCTGATCTCAGGTGATCCACCTGCTTCAGCCTCCCAAAGTGCTGGGACTGAGACTACAGTTTTTAACCTGCGCCTCCTCTGCATGTACATCCACACGGAGAACCACGTTGATGGGGGAACCCTACCACAGGGCAGGGACTAGCAGCTCATCCCAGGGAGCCACACCTGCTTCTAGCGCCTACTCCATGTCCTGCATAATTTCCCTTTGTTTTCACATTATTCCCATCATTCTCCCTCCATTTTTCTTCTACTCTTCCTTGTTTTACTCTTCTTTTGCATCTCCCTAGTTTATGATTTAAACTCACCCATAGTTCTTATCAGTACTATATAACTCCGCTAATAGTAATCCCAAGATATAATTCAATTCTACACAATTCAACTTAAAACATAGTTAAATACTTACTTTCATAGGTATTGTACAAGGTTCTGGAGATATAAAAAGGAATAAGATGACCCAGGCTATTGCCTCAATAAGCTCATAGTCTCAATACAGAGACAGGCATGTAAAGAAACAAATTGCTATTTAAGTTGATAACAAACCAACAGAATAATGTAACAATACCCTAAAGAAAGAAATTACTAATGCTCTGGGGAAGCAGAGATTTGCACAAGAGAGTGACATCTGAGCTGGGATGTGAATGCTGAATAGGAGTTCAAGCAAACCCAATAGAAGGTGTTGGGTCTCAGAATGTGA
This sequence comes from Homo sapiens, assembly GCF_000001405.40. Classification (NCBI taxonomy): domain Eukaryota; kingdom Metazoa; phylum Chordata; class Mammalia; order Primates; family Hominidae; genus Homo; species Homo sapiens. The sequence continues at coordinate 33,222,408 of NC_000014.9, read as the reverse complement.
TACTGTGAAGTATGGCATTTTGACAAGCTGAATACTTTGAACTGAAGGAGACTGGAAGGGCGTAAAAAGATATTCTCTCTGACCTCCTTCTTTTTCCTTCCTTTCTCCTTCCCCTATTTCCTCCTGAAGGTGCATCATGCACGATAGAACTGCTGTACCCCAAAGCAAGCCATAAAATCTAGGAAGACTATCTGACCCTCTCTTCTCCTCCCTGAAGACCCTTACATGACAAGTGTCATGCCCTATGCCCAGAGGAAGAAATGCTACACAGAGAGGCCAAGAAAAATCTGAACACACAGGACTTGTTGGAATTCCCCTCAAGTTATTATCATTACATCATGCCTTTTTTGTCCAGTCATATTTCTACACAGCTGTCCATTCTTCATCGAACCTAAGCTTAAGAATATGCACTTCTCCCTGGGTCTCTGGGTCTTCATTTCTGAGCGCTCCCATGTGATGTAAAATTTTGATTAAATAAATTTTTTCTTGATAACCTGTCTTTTGTTATGGAAGTTTCAGCCATGACCCTTGTGATAGGCGAGGAAAAGTTATTACACTTTTACCCCTACAAAGGAAAAGAGCAATCCAGTCAGATGATGACATAGTCAAAGGCAGAAATGGATGGGTTTTACCACTCAATGTTGCTACAGGAAAATAAGGTAATAGTGGCGATAGAAAGAGGTTGATTAATCTTAATGCATAATGCAAAAGAGCACATCTGTACTCTTTTGCCCACATTTCCAAAGTCTCCACAAAAAAAATCCTCATTTCTACTTCTCCTTTTAAAAAAAATTTTAGAGACAAGCTCTCCCTCTAGGCAGTGGTGCAATCATAGCTCATTGTAACCTCAAACTCCTGGGCTCAAGGAATCCTCTCACCGCAGCTTCCCAAAGTTCTGGGATTATAGGCACGAGCCACCATGCCGAGCCCACTTCTGCTTTTGGGCAAACAAAAACTACAGATAAAAACAATACACAAGTACTACTCTGGATAAGGTAAATTAAATTACAGATTCATGTTCTTCATCTTCTATCTGTGAAATTGGCCATGTTTCTTTGCAGTATCTCCCAGTAGAGGTGCAATGTGCTTCCCTGCCCCTTGACTTTGGTCTGTGCCACGTGATCTGCTCTGACCTAACGACTGAACAGAAATGACACCATGACAGTTCTGAGCCACACCATTAAGAGACATTGCTTGTTTTTGTTCACCCTTCTTACACCTTTGCCTCCATCAGCATGAAAGAACTACTTCCAAATAGGTGCTGCCTTCTAACATGGGACAGAGCTAGGCTGAACCCCCAGCAAGGAGCCAAGCCCAGCCAGAGCTGTAGCACAAAGCAGAGGCACCCGCTGAGCCCAGTCTAGACTTGCCAATTCGCAGCCTAACCGCAGCTCCATGAGTAAAAGCTTGTTGTTGTGTGCCACTTAGATGTTGTGATTGCTTGTTCTCTGGCAATAGTTGACAAGGACACCTGAATATTCACATATTCTCAGCCATCACTCTCAAAAATATGCTTTCTTCAAGTCACTGTCTGGAGCTGAGGGTAATCCTGAATGCTCCGTTGTACCAGATGCACTGAAAACAATAGTGACAAGCCAAACTCTTGAACAGTGGCATGCAGCAAGATACCAGCAATGCTATATATAATATTTTTCATGCTGAGTTAGATAATAATTCAATGATCAAGAGTTCACCTTTGTAGTCACCAAAGCTTTTCATGAAAAAGTGTAAAACTCCAAAGAATTAGAGTCTCAGAGACATACTCTCTCATCATTTAGCCTGCAATTGTCAGAAAGCCCTTCCTGCCCAGTGTCAAAGATGATAGTCCTTGGGAAATGCGGTGATATAAACATTGCTTGTCCTATCATGATGTAAAATAAAGTAAGATAAAAGGTTAGTTCTTAAATGAGCTCCTTAAATGAAGTCATAACTTCATTAGAAATATACAAAAGTATAACAGCATATAATTAAAAAGCCTTCCTGGAAGCATACCTAAGTAAAGGCAAATACATCACATTTCCATGTCCTAGTAAAACCTGGCACTCACTCCCAAAATAAACAACAACGAACACTGGCAGCTCAGCCTCTGAATTGTTCTGTTTCCACTGGGTACCCACCACCTACTATGGATTGGGACAAAACAGAAGTAGAGATCAGAGCAGGGAGTCTGTTCCTCAGTCTGCTGAGGATGATGGAGGTAGGAAGAGGAGTCAAGCAAGAACTGAGTTACCATCTTTGCCCTACTCGTCTAGCCCTGTAGGAGGCTCCTGCTCAGAAGCTAAGGTGTACAGTCTGGGTTCTTCCCTTTACCCGTGCAAAAAGACAAAAGAATGTCATCGGCTGGGTGTCCATGGCCATGTACTGATTCTATGAACTTTCATCTCACATGGTTTTTTAGTAATGAGGAATATGACCCTTGCCCCATAGCATGAATGTCACTTGGTAGAAGTAAATGTATGTCAGCACACAGGAAAATGCCACAACAGCAACAGGAAAATCCCTGAACTGCTTAGACCAAGATGACCTATCACTCAGTCTTGGAGTCTCTACCTTTCTATTGAAACAGAATCCATTTTATAAAATGCTATCTAATTTTGGGGGACAATATTATAACAGTAGTTTAGTGTCACTCTGAGTACGACCTGTACTCAGTTACACTACACGATGATTTAAAATAAATCCATTAAACATCATTGCTTTAGTAAGAGTCTAGTCTTTGGCTAGGGATAGCTAATATGTTGCTTAAATACAAGCCTGCAAGTCTCTACTCTCAGAAACATCTCCTACTTAATTCACAATAGATGCCCGAAATAGTGAAGGGAAATTCTATGGAAATAGTAAAGTTCTTCCCTAATGTGTTCAGTCAATTTTAATCACCAGATATCTTGCATATTTTTCAACTGTTCCTTTCCAAAGACTAAGAATTTCTTATACTTTACATATTTTAGCATTGTTACCTGTCACACACATAGGCAAATTGTTGTTTAAAAGCTGCAATGTTTAAATTGAAATAAAACTTATGACTGCAATGGTAAATATTCCTAGATTAATAGAGTTGCAGCAGACGACAGACTCTTAAAATTGACTGAAGTCTGTGATATTAGAAAGACAGAAAATTTATCTAGTTTTAGCAAATGTCAAATCAGTGGCTATTGCTTTAAAGATTAATAAAAGATATAATGGTTTCTAGATAGCCTCTAAATAGAGATTACTATGAATGGAGAAGTGATTTACCAACAGTCACCACAATGAGATTTCTTTAAAGGTTACAATCATCAGTTATTTAGCTGAAACACTGCTGAGAATGCCTGGTCATTTCTTGAATAACGCATAATGTTCATTGTAGATTTGATCTGTATTATAACAACACAGATATTTCTAAAATAAGGGAAAAAACTATCTGTTACCTTCCAATTGCTTAACCTATCATTTCCATGAAGTAATTGACTTGGGACATATTACATACTGTCACCTGAGTGTTCTTTCTGCAAGCATAACTTGTAATAATCTGTATACAATGGGAATCACAAAACAAACTCATCAACCTTTATGGACTGTTAAGAAAACATGTGATGAATACTGCACAGGGCACAGTAAAGGACCTTTCTGAAGCCATAAATTAAAATGATTAAATTTCTATATAGTTGTGTGGGACAAATTTAAATTTAAGCTTTGAAATTTAATTATTAACATGATCAACTCATCACATTAAAAAATGTTGCCACCACAATGTAAGTACATTTCATACGAATTGCCAAATGCCTTTAGGTTTATTCAAGAGATTGCTTGGAGAAGCATGAAGTATAATGTCTATCGTTTTATTGCTGGATTATGAACTGCACTTCACATGATGCTGCAGGCTATTTATATAAGCTTGTTTATCCGTATGAACGTCTTCAAGGGCACAACATAGAAGACCTTAATAAATTAAAATGAATTTCTTTTGATGTTATTGTTTTATGAATGTTTGATCAGAATGAATAGCAGTTTTGCATTAAAGAACTAGAGTAAAGCAATAAAATGTACATATATTTTACAGTAGAACCAGTTTATAGAAAGTGCTCCTTATATTTCTAGCTACTTTTGAGAGCCGGGGTAGACAGTAGGGAGTCACTATGTTTACATCTTCATTATTTCTAACCTATCACCAGTTTACTAATAGTGAAAGTGAATATGTACCAACTTAGATGCTCTGCCACCATCTGGATGGAATTTTAAATATAATAAAGTCTGTTATCTCCTTCCAGGTTTCTAAACATGCATCTTCACCACCCTGTTTTTTCTCAGTGACACTACCATGCCATTCCAGAAACTGCAACAACGTGGGGGCAGCAACCACATTTTATCTTCTTTTTATACATCTTAATCATACTAAGAAGTTAAAGAGTGGAATTGAAGGCCACAAAATAAAAATGAAGTATTAGAAACAGTCTGAAGCTGAGAAAATTCTCACCTAAAACGTCTGATGATGGTGATAGAAAACAAATATTATCTGTAGTAATGACAAGAAGTGATAGAGCACTAGACAGAAGGCAAGAAAAGTGGATTCTTGCCTTAGATATGCTAACGCTGAATTGCAAAGTCGTTTCCACTTAACACTTGCCTCATCTAACTATCCCTCATAAAATGAGGGAATAATGACATGTGATCTATACATTCGCATGCCTAAAAGGCCATGATTCTGGAAGTAAGCTGGACTACTACATCACAGACAAATGGACAAATAACAGAACCATCACATTTTTCTACTTTGGTAGCCATGACTGCCAAGAAAGCCTATTGACTACAAACCCCTTTAACAATGAAAGTAAACAAATAAAAATTTTCTGAGTTATGTTAAATAAATACAGGTCCATTCCATCATTTCATTTGAATAATATATTTTTCGAACTTATATATTTGAATAATTATTACATGTTTTTCACATGGTATGGTTCCTAACCTGTTACCCTCATCCTTTCATCTTGTGTGATCTGGAATAAAGATAGCCTGTGCCTCAAACTAGAGTGGAAAAAATGTATCTAATGTATATTTATCACAATTATATTTACATCTTTAGCTTGGAAAAATTTGGTACTAATATCTGTAATGTGGTTTGGCTCTACGTCCCCATCCAAATCCAAATCTTGTCTCTAATTGCATTAATAATCCCACGTGTCAGGAAAGGGAGCTTCTGGGAGGTGACTGGATCATGGGGGCCGTTTCCCTTATGCTATCTCGTGATAGTGAGTTCTCACGAGATCTGATGGTTTAAAAGTGGCAATTCCCCTTTTGCTGTCTCTTTCTTTCTCTCTCCTGCTGCCATGTAAGACGTTCTTTGCCTCCCCCTCGCCTTCTACCATGATTGTAAGTTTCCTGAGGCCTCCCCAGCCATGCGGAACTGTGTGTCAATTAAACCTTTTTTGTTTATCCATTCTCGGGTAGTTTTTTATAGCATAATACAATCTAGAACATGAATTGGTGTGTTATTGAATTGATATCTACATGCTCAAGGGCAGAAGGGATGTAAAAGGACAACTCGAATGTGCCTTGCTTTATTTTTCCTGGGCTACCTTTGACTGACATCCTGTCCTTGAGAGGTACCTCTGTTGTGTGTTCTCCTCAATCTTTAAGTGTCATTCTTACACTCTAGAGCAGTGGTCTTCAAACTATAGCCTATGGGACAAATGTTGTGGCTGCTGCCTATTTTGTAAATATAGTTTTATTGGAACACAGCCACGCTGTTTTGTTTACATATTGTCTATGGCTAATTTTATGCTACAACAGGAGAGTTGAGTAGCCCATTAAGCCTAAAATATTTACTACATGGCCCTTTACAGAAAATGTTTGCCAACTGTTGCTCTAGAAGAAAATAACCTGTTACAATTTAAATTATCATTTTCCACCTCTAATGTGCATAACACAATCCCCAAGTAACAAATTTACACTCTCACGGACACATATATGATCACAGCTCTTAGCACAAAATTGTAAATAATAACTGCTTTTGACCCTTCATTTCAATCTGAATCCTACAAAAGATTACAGCTCCCGACTAGTACCCTTTCCTATCATAGCCAAGAGTACAGGGACTTTTCCAAAGGTAGTTGGCAAGATGTAACAAAAGAAGCTAATTCTTCCCTAGAGGAAGTTGCCTGCACCTCCTCCAAATGCCCAGTTTTATTTCATGCTATAAAGTGTCTAGATACACGATTTGAACATAAGAACCTAGCAGATTATTTAGGCCATACACCTTGAATAGAATACCCTTAAAGACAGAAAACCAATGGCCAACACCACATATACATAAATAAATATATCCATGCATATTTAAATGCCAAAAATGCCATAAATTATTAGGAATTTCAGGAACACACAAGAAAATACCTGTCTTAGGCATCAGAGTGAGAAAGACCTAACATTTAAAGATACTAAGTTGTAAGAGTAACTGCATCAAGGATTTGAATAAAAAATATATGTTTATATTTACAACTTTTAGGTAATATGTATATAGAGAAAATTGAAACACTAATACATAGATTGATTTTCATTGGTCAATAAAATCATTAACTTAAAATGCCTGCTAAAGATGGAAGAGCTATGCTCCCTGCCTTTCTTTGGTTACTTAAGGCAGAAAATGTCAGCTCTATGCTTTAACAAATGTGTCCATACCCCACTCATGAAGAAGAATTTGTATGTAATGGTAAAACATACATTAAACCCAAGAAGCATTTTAATGTGTCATTTCATTTTCATTTCTCTGAAATCTTATATAAAGTGACAGAATTTTAGGCTGATAGACTTTTTGAAAATAAAATAGAAAAATAAGAGGTTTATTTCACCTTCACATGGTGTCTTTCTCATGCAGAGTTCAGATTTCCACATTTGTATCCCTTTAAAGGATTTGATATGCAGGAAAAGAAGAAAGGATGATGGTAAACATTTTGTCTTACAGACCCCTACAGACCATCATATTCAGACTGAACAGTGACCTAAAACTTACCTTTTACTGATGTGTTAGGTGGAGGGCCTTCCATTCGCAAGTTCCACGGAGGGTCCCCCTGGTTAGCAAAGTCCCTCATTTTCAGATAGCTAATTGTAAGTCGAATGATGGATGCCTTGTCGAGCTGGCTGGTAATGGCTGCAGGAAGAGGCAACAACTTGGCCAATTCATAGAACTCAAAGTTTTCTTTTCCCCGGCGGGAGCGAGCAGCATCTCGGGATTTCTCCTTTCTCAATGCTTGTAAACTGAAATCAAAGGAGTGAGAATGTGTGGTTTAGAATATGTGACTCTGTCATCATTCAAATACTGCTTTCTTTGTATTTCCTTTTTTCCCACCAAAATTCTACCAAAAACTATTTCAAAACTAGAGAGTGACAGTAAAATGAGTTCCAGAAAATGTCCACTAAAGCCATAAACTCTAACTCTGGCCTTACATTTTGTAAACTCAAGTCCAATGAGTAAAAATTGTGTTTTACTTGTTAAGGTTTTTTTCCTTCAATTGTCCATGCATTGAGGTGTATTTATTGTTTCTAAGACCTAACAGAAGGTTTACAGGCGTAGCTTGATATTATCAACTAGAATCAATTTATAAGTTGGGCTTACATTCGTGTATCTATTTCAAACTAATACTTCTGTTCATTTAACTTTCATCAGTATGGGATCTTCATCAAAAGGAACTATTTTGAAAAATTCATTTCAATTATAATCTTGGGGAGCAGAAGGTAAACACGAATACAATTCACCTTGTCAGAATCAACAAATATGTTTCCAGCCCTCAATAAAGATCACAGCACGTTCAGTTAGATGAAGAAAACATCATATTTAAAATGAAGATTTCAATGTAATTTTATAAATGTGCTGATAACTGCTTGATAAGAGCATACTTATTTATTAATGGACATACATTAGTAGATTGATTTTCTAAGATACTAGAGAATAAAATATATTGCCCAAAGAAGTCAAACTTTAGGAAAATATAAATTTAATATTGAAAGATAAAGCGCTGTATGGGTTATTAAAATTTATAAACATTATAGACATATTACTTCCCAGAAGAGGCAACAGGTGGGATCCAGCATTTTCCTTCAACTATTCATGTGCATTTCTGTTTGAAGTTTGCTCACATTGCTGAGGGCAGAATCTGGCACAACTGAAGTTGTGTGTGAGCATCTGACAGGAGAATTCTACCTGCTCTGAATTGCTCTGTATTGTGTCTGATGAGAAATAAATTTAAAAATCAGACCACAATGATAAGTAGCTAGATAATATTTTCAGTATCAAGGTACTATTAAAATCATTTTTATGTATGCATTTTATTGAATTCTGAAAGCACTGTAAATATTTGAGTCTAGCATTCTTTTTTTTCATTATGAAATAATAAGAAAGAGAGAAACAAGGAAGGAAGGAAGACCAAAGGAAGAGATCAAAATTGGTTCAGCAGCAAGGCTCCGTTCTCTTTTAATATACTATGGTGAATAATATTCCCTATTACATTATAGGATTCCTGACATTGTTTTCTGGTGTAAACACTGTATTCACTGCAGAAATCACACCTGAAATATCTTACTGAATATCTATGTAATCTAAGTAATGCCATAATGCTCTGGTCAGATACTTGCTAGGCTAATACCCAACCAGTTTTATGTTTGCTCTATTAATAGTCTACATTAGCTAACAAATGTCTTTCTCAGAATTAGACAAGTTAATGCTATCATTTTCAGAGTAACAGCAGTCTCAGGTGACAAAATCTTTGCCCCTTGATACATCTCAAGTGATAAAGTCAGGCAGAAACATTACTAATTTACAAGGAAAAGACATGTTTTGTCACTTATTTCCCAATATCTGGGCCAGCCTCCATTCAATTCTACAAGTGCTCAATTTTAGCTGGTTGAAAGCTACATAAGTGAGAGATGTCTTAGAATCTGACAAAGCGTAAGTATAACTAGGATCCAGGTTAACACCTTAGGATACAAGAATAGTTCGAATTCCTCCCTTTACAGAATAAAAGTAACTTATCTAACAACATTTAAGTTAGCTGTGCCAAAAGAAATTATGTCTCTGGACATATTTTCCCTAACACTTTTACATAGGGGAAGGAGCAGCGGTTCAAGTTCAGTGCTTTATTCTTTTTGTGTTCTTGCAATTAAATACTACTCCAGAAGGTGGGCTAAACTTACAATTTTTTTTTGGTCCAGTAAGTGACTATGATGGGGCTCTAGAGCAGGGGTTACGAACTCAAGGGCTTTCAGGGTTCAGGCAGGGAATGTCAGTGAGTGAAGAGGCCTGATGGGGACTGGGAGGAACTGAAGGACAACTCTGGCCAAGAGGTAGCACAGTTTGAGCCAATGCCACTTTAGGGAAAGTCATGCCTGGTGTCACCACTTCTAGAGGACAACATCTGAACTTTTATATGCCATTTCCCAATTTTGGTATTTTAACAAATTAAAGCTTTAAAAAGTCATGCAAGCCAAATAAAACATGTCATAGTCAAACATGGATCAGGGACTCGTTTTACAATTGGGTAACAGTTTGGACAGACAATTATAAAAGTAGTTTCGCGTGATGTTATAGGTAATTTTCCTTTATTCATGTCACTCAGAATGATCACGAATGTATTTATTTGTTACTTATGTAATATACCGTAATATTTATATCAGGAATTTATTCAACTGAAGCAAAGTAGAAGATTAAGCAATTATTCTGAAATTGATATTAATGTATAGGCTTATCAATAATCTAAGGAAAAAATTCATCTTCATATGGGAGACAAAGCCCAAGATCACAGGGATCAACTCAATAGGCTATAAAGGATAGATACTAGGGAGATGGCTTTTCTCTATCCATTCAGGGAAGGGAATAAGCAGACACTAATGTCTTTGGATGCCTTGCCTAACATGTGTTCTGATGTTTTACTACTTTTCTAAAATAGCACTGGTCAGAATTTACTTTATGTTTTTTTTATCCTACCTCCTTGTTTTCTTTTCTCTACCTTGTCTTTCTCTTTTTTTAACTCTAACACACATGGTGTCCCCCTATTAGAGTAATCTTCTTGGCAGTAATCTTAATAACAAAGGATTTCCATGACTCTCACATCACATCATTATGCAGGGACCATAGTTTAGAAGACTTTCAGAATGATATCACTGTGTCTGTAATAAGTAGTAATTGGTTTTGTGGGCAACTGCAATAAAGTACAGTCAAAGGATTATAAAGGTTGTTGAGATGCTGGTGTAACAGATGAAGACAAAGACCTTAAGACAATGACACTCTAGATTGTGCATTAATCTTTCACTCGCTTATGTAAAGTAGGGCCCAGTTATAAGCAATCCTCACATTGAATTAAGAACTATATTAAAACCCAAAATAAACTTTGTATTTGTACGTTTTGTTCTAAACGAAAGTATTGTGGTTGTATGTCTAGAGTACTAAAGATAGAATAGATTAGTTGTACATGAGTAAAATGTTATAGTGCAGATCTCTGCCATCTAAAATACGATTAAACTTCAGACCCAAATATTTACTCCCTGGGCCTAAACTTCCCATTGCTCTAATGTTCTTGCACTTAGATTTGAATAGCAGAAAAGAGATTCTTCATGAATCCCCAGCAAATGAAAATTTCAACTCTTTTTGATGACTACATTATCATCCTCACAAATCATTATTACCACCAACAAAAACAACGTCAATAATTTCAAAACACACACACACATATATGTATGTATGTATCTGGATATTATATGCATTATTGTGTGTGTGCATATAAATATATAGATAGATAGATAGGAGAAATAGTAAATTTTCAGATTCTCAAATGTAGTCCATCACACCAACCTAAAGGCTAATAATCTAATGTCTGTCATTTTGGGATTTTTTGAGATGGAGTCCCACTCTGTCACCCAGGTTGGAGTGCAATGGTTCGATCTTGGCTCACTGCAACCTCCACCTCCCAGGTTCAAGTGGTTCTCCTGCCTCAGTCTCCCAACTAGCTGGGACTACAGGCATGCACCACCGTGCTCAGCTAATTTTTCATGTTGGCCAGGCTGGTCTCTAACTCCTGACCTCAAGTGATCCGCCCACCTTGGCCTCCCAAATTGCTAGAATTACTGACGTGAGCCACCACGCCCAGCCTAATGTCTATAATTTCTTCTTATAAGAGAATGGATTGTGAAGCTAGCCAGCCTGGGTATAAATCCTGGTTTTGTTATTTACTAATTATGTACATTTGAGGTGACTTCTATTGCCTCACTTTTTCTCATCTGTGAAATGGGATAATACTCTACTTTATAAAGTTGTCGTTAGAATTAAGTTAAATGAGTCTTTTTTAAATAAGATCTTTACAATGGTGCCTGACACATAGTAATGCTGTATAAGACATGTTAAATGAAAACCTAAGCTCACTTCACATTGATTGTTCTTTCCTTCTAATGCCTGCAATGCTCATTAATAATGTGCACTCTCTTCTCACTAATATAATTCCTATTCCTTGGTTCTGACATAACACATTTTTCCTTTTATTACAGTCCTCATTTTGCCTATGGTCTATTCATTGTATACCATAAGTGTACTTAGTGAGTTGTTCAAATAAAAATATATTTAATTAGTGGATGCTTAAAGATTTATAAATTTTTTTGTGCAGGATCATAAGGAGCCTTTTTTTTTAGTACAATAACAGATAAAAGGTGACATTCAATTGCAGGACAAGCAATTTTGTTTATATTACAAAATGAGTATCTAAACAGCTGTTACAAGAACAGATTACTCAGGAAGATTGTGAAAATGCTATTGAAGGTTTTTAAATGGCAATGATAATTATTAATCAGGAGTATATGTGTACTTCTAGACAAGATGATCTTTCAAAAGATCACAAACCTAAAAGTTCTCTTGAAAATCAGGCAAAGCCCCAGATCCAGGACCATGGAGAGCTCACCCAGGACAAGTGGTGCCCAGAAGTGGGGAAGCTGCACAGCAGCTGCCTCCTCAACTTCTATTTTTGGGGGCAAGGTCAAATCATGAAATTCTTTTCAAGCTAGAAGCCAGCAAAATATATCCCCAAAAAAGTTTGAAAAAAGGGGTGCTACTGCTATCAAAAAGAAAATATTATGAAACTGCCTAAGAATTTGCAATCTTTGTGAATCTACCATGAAGCTGGATAAGAGGTCAATTGTTTACTGGGCCACTTGTCCACAGTGGGAAAAAAAGATAGCTTTGGACTTGATGACTTATTTAATTAAAAGAGGTAAGTTATCCTTTGTGGTTGATCAAATTTAGCTTTGAAAAATTGATTACTTCGGTTCCCCACTTCACAGAGAAGGTTATAATGATTATGGAAATAATATAGCTGTACATCCACAGAGGATAACAAGGATTAAAAATAGGTAGCCACAGAGTACAGAAGCCAACTTAACCAAATGTTTCTTCCTCTTCAGTGATTTCTTCATAGTCATATTTTAATCAACTTTTAAATAATTTATTTTTATGAAGGAGGTTCAGATACTGACCTTATTGACAGATCCACACTATTTCTATGTAAAAATCCTTCTCCAAGCTGTAGTTTGAACACATAACACCTTCACGTAAACTTTTAGAATATAATATCTAGTCTTCATAAAAGAGCATGGCAGGTTTTGGTTATCTAACTATAGGGTAAAGGAGAAGCAGGGTCAAAACCATTTTAAATTTTACCTTTTTAAAGTACTTCTAAGGAGCCAGACAGACAGGTTTTTATGGATTTTCCTACTTGTTTTGCTTAGGAGAACCCAGCACTACATACTTCTACTATTTATCAATTAATCTGGCATGCAGCCTCAAAGGAAGAAGGTCGACCTGTATTAAAAATGCAGCCATCAAAAATTCATCAAAGGCTTCAGCATTTTAACTCATGAACCTTTGAACACCTGCATACTTGTCAGATCTCTGGTCGTAGTTAACTGTGAAATCTATAGTTACTCCAGTACCTACACTTGCCCTAACATGAGCCGAATGAGGAGCCTTCCCAGGGAAAAAGTACAGTAAAGATTCTATAAGCAATGCTTGCCCTTCCTTCATTACTTTTAGTAAAACAGCCCACCCCACATTGACATTACATAGAGCTCAAAGTCAATCAAATCAGCTGACTTCAAAGGAAAAAAATTCTTCCAAGAGTATTTTTTTTTGGCATGGTTGTAAGTATCAGCTTTCTTATAAGGTAACGGTAACATAATTGAGAAATGCACAAACAACTATTATCTGGTAGGATTATGCACAACAAAGATCACAAATTGAAGTAGTTTAATGCTCTCCAAAAAAGATAATAATTTCAGAAATCTTCTTTAAGGTGTAAAGAAAGCTGGATAGTATACGCTGGAAGTTAAAACTGGAACCTTCAAGTTCAAGGTAAGAACTCTGCTGCTTAACTAATGCGCTGCTCATAGCTGTCATCATTAATTTATGTTAGCCTCTGTAAACATCAAGAGTATAATAGGCCAATTTCACAACTAAATATAGATGCACATTTTGCCCTTATATAAATGGCAGGTTGCTGCTGTAGATCATCACTGCAGAAACACGTCAGTAAAGATGCACTGTTTGATGGTCTGATGCTCACACAATATATAAAACCAGTTGTAATGGTTGTTTGGAAGCAAAGTGTAACATAGCAGCAAAATTTCATTTGTTCCACAAACTCAGGATATATTAAGCTTGGCTGACAAAGACTGTTTGATGTGCTAAATCAGTTTGACCTTCATTCTTGCTTTATTTTTCTCATTTAACATGTGAAATGACCATTATTTTTCCACATGTAGGAAAATATGAAATTGATTGCTTAAAAAAATGTCAAAAAACATCGGCAACTGCTAACATTTGATAAAGTATCAACATCAAGATGTATACTTAGAGTTTTTAAACTAAGATATACTCTGATGGGATAATCCTGACCCATTTGACTTGTGGTAAAATAGATCAAAAGAGTAATTAAAGCCATTCAACTGAATGCCTTCCCTCATCTTCAGAAAATGCCTTGTGTATGTTTGAACTTAATAATTAAATTAATTGGTTTTAGCCAATGAGCATTTTCATTCTTAACACTTTAAATAAGAGGATTTAATTCCAGAATGAGTCATTAGAATAGTAATAAAGAACGCTGAGAGGTCTGCACAGTCCTTTTCAACTGATGTTCACCTTGATTCAAATAACCCTTGAATAAACCACAGCAAGACCAAACTATTCATTGTATGCTTTGGTGTCTGCCAAAAACCTCATGAATCAAAGTGTTTTGTTCTTCATTTTCCCCCAGAACTTTAAACTATACAACTGGCAGTTCCATAATAACGGAAAAAAAAAACTGCAGTTTTATCAAGTAATTTCTTTCCACCCAATAAATTGCACTTTACCTTGAAGCAACTTGTATATTTCACACCTTAAATTTCTATTTACCAAATCAGCTAATCACTTCACAATTGAACTCAGAACAAAAAAAAATTATCAATTAAAGTGGTTGAAACTCCTGCAAATTATCATTTAGGAATGAAGTAATTGCTTTCATCAGGGCAGAAAAGCCCGCCAGAACAGAAATGTCACTTTAGATTAGTGTTCTCACTCCTGAAGCTATGGATGACACAGCTGATATAAGACTAAATGCCAAGACCAATCAATTGCTTTTGTGGCTCTGCTCTGAGCTGCTGTAAAAGGGGCCATTTTCTAGGATCTACTCTTCATTATAGTAAATGCTATCTCCTTGGTAACATAATTCCATTTCTCATAAATTCTGTCTGAGAGCATTGTCCTAACAATGGATGTTTGTGGAAAAGAATGCTGTTGGTTTAATGCACAGAATTAAGTGTGAATGGCTGTCAAACTGCTATAGTTTACTAGTTCTTAAACATAAATTGAAATCTTATACATTAAAAAGAATTCTTGAGGATAAATGAATGTCCTGAACAAGGGTAAAATATTGTACTTGAAGGTTCTGTGCCACTGGTTTACAATTTGGACTATTCTAGTATTTATCTGTCCTGTACATTAAATCAATCAGTTCACACTCAGAGATGGGTGAACACTTCACTTACTTTCTCAGCAGTGCAGTTTGCAAATGTGAAAACTCAGAAGCAAATATGGACTCATTAGGCAACTGCATGCGATTTGTGAATAGCCACAACTGTGTGTGTGTGTGTGTGTGTGTGCGTGTGTGTGTGTGTGTGTGTGTGTGTGTGTGTAATGTTCTTTGAGCTGAGAACTTCCTGGAAAGCATCCAGATCTTAATCTGTATTGTTCATCCCCCTGAAGTTACAAGAATCTGGGTTGCAGGCTCCAATTAAAAGGAAATTGAAGAAGCTAATACAGTGAGAAAGCAGCAATTCCCTGCACTGCTCTCTTCAGGTCGCAAGTTTAGAAAGAGATTCAGGATCACGGGTCTTTGCCCGACATGGGATAAAGGCTTTCTCATCCTGGTGAGCACACATGTGTAACTTCCATTAACAGCAACAAGAGTCGTGAGCACACATTGAGAGGAAAGTCCACAGCTAAATGTTTGAAAGGGTCAGAGCATCTCTGCAGAAAGGAAAAATCAGAGGGAACTGTGGGTACCCTTTGACGGCAGGACATTTCACTGACCATGCAAAGGACAATTGCTGGAATTTCTACCACTCCAAAGAACTATAGTACTATTTTTCATAATATCAATAACAGGAAAGGATACATGTTATTTCTGCTTTTTCAACAGTATACAGCACCATCAAAGAACATCATGGAACCTAATATAAACATGAATATGTTTGAATGCTTACTATATTTCAGTCAAGGTCCAAGTGTTTTCAACATCATCTAATTCATGGTTGCCAATATCAGCAATGAAGGGGAAAACTGGTAACAGTGACTATGGAAGGTAGTAGCCTACACTAGATATGACTGATGCTAAAAACAGCATTGTTTTCAGCCACTATTGGCGGGGGAGCACTGTATGAGTTTTTAAATTTTCCCTCCAACTTTCTACACCCATCCCCCAAAACTGGGAGTTTTCTTGTTTTAGAGAGGGCTTTCCCTGGATGCTGGACTTTAGGTGCTAAAAGCAGGACATTCCTGGGCAAACCAGGATCCTTGGTCCTCCCATAAATCTTACTGTCTCACAAGAAAATTAAAACAGAGAGTGGAAAAGTAACTTACCTAAGGCCAATGATGGTTGGAGATGGCATTTGAACCTTGGCCAGATAACTCAAGTCCTTATCACTAATGTGCAATATTGCCGCTATAGGAATAAAATCCTCATGATTCCCTTTTCTCTATTATAATTATATGACAATTAAGTCACTGATAAAATTTTTATTTAATTTATAATCACCCATATAAATTTCATAATAATTGTTATGAAAACTTAATTCCTTAATGAAATATCCAATAAAACCCCTATTTTCAGGCTTATAAACACCTATTCCAATTTGGAGTAGATAGATTTGCTGTTAATTGCTATAAGTCCCAAACTAAATTGCTTTGGAATTCAAATTCAAACGACCTTTCTAGTGGGAAAATTCATTTTTTCTTTTAATTTTCCTTAAGTGTGATTTCAAACACTTCTGAAACACAACTAAGTGGAAGAAAGCTTCTGAAGACTTTCCAGCTTGATATAACACATTTGGAAGGGAGAAAGCGTGCTTTGACAAGTTTAAAGATCTTTATGTATGAAAAATTTAAGTTATGGTCATATGAATACTAGCAAACATAGCACATGCTTTACTTGACACCAAGGAACACACCATTATACTTCATCCACATTCCTTTGTGAAACAGAGATCACTAAATAAAATGGTTCCCCTTTTTAAACACTACAGCTGAGAATACAAGTTCACCAGCCTCAAGAAACTGTATACTCCTTCTCTCACTTATCTGTTTTTTTAAGACACATTGTTATTTCACCTTTCATCCAGATTCCAAAAGCACATGTATGGTTGCCAGGAGCCTAAATTATTACAACTTCTAGAAAACAATTTAGCAACTACATATCCAAAGGCTTAGAAATTTGTCGACTTTAGGCCCATGCTAACTTATAGAAAACCTTACGAAAAAATAACCAAGTATGTAAACAAACATATTGCCAAAAAGGATATTTACTGCATTTTTAATAAGCTTTAAAAATAAAGTATGGGATATTCTCAAGATACTGAACAAGGATCTTGAAAAATATTCAATGGCTTAGAAAATACAATATGTTCAACAATAACTAGTTTATAAAGCAGCATGTGTTGAGATCATACAATTATAGCTATATATCTTTATCTATAAAGATATAGAGATAATATATATCCAAATCTGAATGAACTGCTACAAATCAAAATATTAAGATTGTTTATTTCTACATGGCAAAACCATTTCTTTTGCATATAGGGTGTGGAGGCTAACTATTTGCTGGACTCTCTTCAGTAAACTTTTTAATATAAAAGTTACTTTCTGAAAAAATGAAAATATAATTTATTGGATCCAAATTGAGCATGAGAAGTGCCTTGATGCTTAAAGGCATTTTTTTTTCCAATAAATGAGTGACCAAATAGTGCTATCAAATGCCACCCTTTCCCTACTTTTTGCAATAGTAGGGCCTGAGAAGTATTTGGAGAAAATGCTTGGCTTGGTCACGCCTCTAAAAGAGAGCTGGAATTGGAATAGCTGGGAGAAGTCTTCATCCCTTCTCAAGTTATCCCACAAGGGTCTTAACCAGACGATTGAGTCCGTTAGAATGCAGCTAGGGTTTCTATGTCCTTTATGGTCCCCTCGGAATCCCAAAGCAGTGCTTTGCTCAGTGTATCATTTGCCGGCTGCTGGTTGGGGATGGAATGTGATTCCATTCAGTGACTGACTTTTTCCGTGTGTCACATCCTTGAAAACCTGACGGCAGCTACAGGCTCTTACGGAGGAGAAAACGTATACAAATCAACATATTGCACAGACTGTGCTTCCTGAACCACGCTCTCAGATCCTGTCCCAAGTCTGGGTTAAGAAGCTGCCACAATAGATGGTATCTTGGGGTCTCTACCAAGCTTTGCAACACAGACCTAACTACTGTAATTAGAATCATTCTTTGCTTTTTCATTCACTACTGTACTTCCCATCTCCAGTAGGTTTGGCCCTTGCTGGTAGGGTGGCTCTATGGCATGAGACTACATATATAAAGAGCCTAAATGTTTTTATGTGGCACGGATTACCATGTAAGATTTAATTTGAAGGGTCATGATATTTCACACAGAAACGTTTAAAGTGAGACAACATAGGAAATGCCTGTTTCTAGGCTTCCATTACTCAGGAACTAAGTCTTCCCTGGACCCTACACACGTTTAAAAAAGTGCTCAGCCCATTTATGCAGACAAAAGACACATGAAAAAATGCTCATCATCACCGGCCATCAGAGAAACGCAAATCAAAACCACAATGAGATACCATCTCACACCAGTTAGAATGGCAGTCATTAAAAAGTCAGGACACAACAGGTGCTGGAGAGGATGTGGAGAAATTGGAACACTTACACTGTTGGTGGGACTGTAAACTAGTTCAACCGTTGTGGAAGTCGGTGTGGCGATTCCTCAGGGATCTAGAACTAGAAATACCATTTGACCCAGCCATCCCATTACTGGTTATATACCCAAAGGATTATAAATCATGCTGCTATAAAGACACATGCACACATATGTTTATTGCGGCATTATTCACAATAGGAAAGACTTGGAACCAACCCAAATGTCCAACAATGACAGAATGGATTAAGAAAATGTGGCACATATACACCATGGAATACTGTGCAGCCATAAAAAATGATGAGTTCATGTCCTTTGTAGGGACATGGATGAAGCTGGAAACCATCATTCTCAGCAAACTATCACCAAGGACAAAAAACCAAACACCGCATGTTCTCACTCATAGGTGGGAAATGAACAATGAGAACACTTGGACACAGGAAGGGGAACATCACACACCGGGGCCTGTTGTGGGGTGTGGGGAGTGGGGAGGGATAGCATTAGGAGATATACCTCATGTAAATGACGAGTTAATGTATACATGGCACATGTATACATACATAACTAACTGGCACATTGTGCACATATACCCTAAAACTTAAATTATAATAAAAAACAAAAATACATAAATAAAATAAAATAAAAAAAGACATGGTCCTACTAGCCTCAGAAATTAAGTAGCACAGGAGTAAGAGACATTCTTTAGGACTTTTTTCTTGCAAACCAAAATGACATGGGCACTGAAGTCATGCATGCCTTGCCTTCAATCCCTTCTCATCAATTAAAATCTGTGCCATCATTGGCAACTCACTTTATTTCATGAGCTACAATGTCTTTATCTGAAAAGTAAATACAGTAATGTTTAACTTGCAATGTCTTTGTGACGATTAAACAGTGTAATGTGTAATGTAATGTCTAAGAAATAGTAGTCAAGAAAGGCCACATGTCTTCACATAATGGGAACAGACACCATAAAATTGGGGAAGAAAATTATATTTATATGTCAGAAAAAGACTTTTCTTACGATATTATTCAAAATATACTACAAAAGTTCTAACAGAATAAGTTCTTGAAAATTAATTGCAAGCTGCCCTGAGCTTAAACAAAGAATTTTCCAGTAAAAGGGAAAATATCACTTTGAAATAATGCAGACTAATGATACCATCTTTCCATGATTACTTCAGAACCAACTGAAATAATCAGAAGAAATCATACATGTGGGTGGGTTTATTTTTCAAAAAAAAAAAAGACATGAATATTTGCTTAAAATTGTTTTTTATTTTAAATAAAAATATTTATCTCAGTAGTTAGGATATTAATGAGCATACTCAGTGTAAGAAATTTTCTCCAGATTTCTATCACTACAAATAAAACTTTATTATTCTTCATTTAAAAAAAAGGCTCAGTCCTCTGATAGGCTCCTATTCCTTTATTAGGTGCTTAGTCCTCTCATAAAAATCTGCCTTTGAGGAATTACAAATTCGTTATTTTAACCAAGTCTACTTATGTAACAGGATGACAAATATCGGTAACATTTCTCTCTTTTTTTTTTTAAGACAGGGTCTTACTCTGTCACCCAGGCTGGAGTGCAGTGGTGCCATCTTGGCTCACTACAACCTCCACCTCCCAGATTCAAGCAATTCTCCCACCTCAGCCTCCCAGGCAGCTGGGACTCTAGGTGTGCACTACCACACCTGGCTAATTTTTGTGTTTTTCAGTAGAGATGGGGTTTGGCCATGTTGGTCAGGCTGGTCTCAAACTCCTGACCTCAAGTGATCTGCCCACCCCGGCCTTTCAGAGTGCTGGGATTACAGGTGTGCGCCAACACACTAGGCCCAGTAACATTTCTATATAGAAAACAAATGTTTAAAATATGTAACATAAAAATAAAATAATTAGGCACATTTTAAAAATTTATTGCATGAACTTGCAAGTTGCTCATGGAAAAACAAAAGATTGTATCATAATATAAGTACATACAAAACTGAAAAGTTTCAGTTATCTTAATTGAAAGTCAGCACTGAATTTCCGGATTTTGAACAAATCATTAAAGTAACATTAATAGTAACATTGATCCCAACTGTTGAGAGTTCTCAGATGGAGGAAAGCACATGATTTGGAAGCTGATGTAAAGAGACTACTTAATTGGAATGGGGCAATGAAAGCCAGCAATTTTCTCAATGTGCCCCCATCACAAAGCATCCACAAATAACTTTAGTATCAGAACCTATAATCCACTGAATAATTGGTCGAAATACACAAAATGTGTACTACATGATTGAACATTTCCCCCTGAACTGAGAGCTCAACATGATCCTTGACCAAGGCAGATATCCTGTTGCCTGCCTGTCACAGGACGCTATACATGAGCCCTTTCTTAAATATACCTATCTTTTCTCTGCATTTTATTTGGTTTTGTTTGGGCTGAGATATTCATCTCAAAAGGTTTCTCCTCAAGGTGTCCTTTTGAGTTATCAGGCAACAAAAGATCACTAAGTCTTTAGCTTCACTTCTGAAAACGGCAGTGATTCTCAACAGCATCTTTACAAAGACAGTGTGGACTTCAATGAGCCACCAGGGGCAATGGGGCAACATGGCCATGTTCCCATGGTTGTAGAACTGAGTCACTTTTCAAACATACACACACACACACACCATTGTTAGGGGAGTGAAGGGGAGTGAATTTTATATACAGCTGCCTCTAGCTATAACTTCACCAATTAGTCAACACTTCCAAACTTCTTAGAGGTAGTATTTGAGCTTTACTAGCATTAGATAAAGTTAGCGTTTTATTAAGTGTCCCAGGATGGTCCTTCAAATGCCTTCTGTCTTTCTCTCTCATTTTCTTCTATTTGATTTCTTCTCAGAATCATTCATTTGCATTAGTCATATCTCATCTCATAAAATTCATATATGTAAGAAGAGTGGTATAGTTTGGTTGGTTTTTATTCGTTTTCTGAAATGGTTAGACTATTGTAAATGGATTTAAAGTAAGGGTCACAAAAACTCAAATACTTGCAGGATCAAAGAAAATTATGCAAATGAGCAAAGATGACTAGGTGAAAGAAAGCAGTGCAAGCATGATGATTAGTGGAAACTGGATCTCACTGCTGAATAGTAACAGGGAATAGTGGGTCCTGTGGAAAACTGGAAAGCACCTGCCCAGCACATAGGGGATATTCATTATTCATGAAAACATTTGTTACTAGATTGGAATGTGGCCCCAAAGTTGCCAGATCTTCCTTTCAGAAAGAAGCCAAAAATCCAGATTTTTTAATGTAAAATCTTCCAGTTTTTGAAAGCACTGGCATCTTATTTTAAAAATGAAACTCTTTGTAGGCCCCTTATGATTCTCATTTCTCCTGTGGCAATTAGCAACCTGTGGTTTAGTGCCAATAATAACCTTTGCTGGGAGTAGGATTTAATTATGGGGCACATAAAGGTATGGGTATGAAGCTTTTCAATAAAGCCAGGTGACATTAAAGATATGGCAAAGAGGCATAAAATGGAGGAAAATGAAGAAACTGAACTTAGAAGAAAAGAAACCATAATTATTAACAGTAGTTTCCTCTGAGTGATTGTGTTTCTGCTTTTACTTTTCTGTTTTATAAATTTACTATAAACTATCAAAGTTAAACTTACTATTTTATGGGGCTTAGTCTATTAGTAAAAGTAGCCCAGAGAGTGGAAAATAATTATATGTCTATATTTAGGTTGGTGCAAAAGTAACTGCGGTTTTTGCAATTGCAAGTAATGGCAAAAACCAGTTACTTTTGCACCAACCTAATACATAGATCCATTTACCATGTTTAAACCACACAGTTTTATTGAACATTTAATCACAACCAAAAGTTCAATCAGCTCACTATGGTGACATCATGTGTAAGGAATCTTTTATTAAAAATTAAAATAGCCCTTTAACAATGAGTCAAATGTAGTCCCCTCAAAATAAGTGATTAACAATATCTTAAATGTACATGCTAAACAAGGCTTTGTTTTTATTAGTGCAATAATGTTGAGAGACAACGTCTTGCATATAGAGTATGTCTTCGATAAGTACGTGTTGAAAGATGATTATGCTGCTGCTGATCTGAATGTCCTTAAAAGTCATGATTAAAAATAGTAAACAACACAGCCAGTAGTAGTGCTACTGAAATTAAACCTACTGTAAATTAGTCCTTGAAGTGGTATTATAGTGAAAGGAGGGGAGGAAGGGAGGGAAAGAGGGAGGGGAAGAAGAAGGGGGAGGGGAAAAGGGCAGGGGGCAAAGAGAAGGAAAAGGAAAGGTAGAGGAAGGTAAGGAGGAAAGGAAGGTAAGGAGGAAAGAAACAGATACATTCATAAATTTTTTCCTGTCAGAAATATTTAAATTCTCAAAACAGTCTCCTCCCCTTTCTACACTCTGGAGGTGGTACTAGTGAGCACCAAACTGAGGTAAACTGAGGAAAGCAGCAGCAGCCAAGAGCCTGTCTAGCCTCTCTTTATAATCATACACAGTAACATTCAGAATGCCGAGTCACTGAAAATCCTGCCTACATGGAAGAACCATACAATAGGGACAGGAGGAAATTTTTGTAAAAGAGAATCCTAGACCTTCACATTTGCCAGATCTGTGTGTCTATGCGTAATCAGAAATTTTTCAAAAAGTAGACAGAGGCAGTGAGAGGTGACAACGTGCTGGAGGCCCTCGCTTGCTCTCAGTGCCTCCTCGGCCTGGGCGTCTGCTCTGGCCACGCTTGAGGAGCCCTTCAGCCCGCATCTGCACTGTGGGAACCCCTCTCTGGGCTGGCAGAGGCTGGAGCCAGCTCCCTCTGCTTGCGGGGAGGTGTGGAGGGAGAGGCACGGGCAGGAACCAGGGCTGCACACGGAGCTCGCAGGCCAGCGCAAGTTCCAGGTGGGCGTGGGCTCGGCGGGCCCCACACTTGGAGCGGCCAGCAGGCCGGCACCGCCGGCCACGGACAGTGTGGGGCTTAGCATCTGGGCCAGCAGCTGCAGAGACGGCCCTGGGTTCCCCCAGCACTGCCAGCCCATCCACGCCGCGCTCAAATTCTTGCCTGGCCTCAGCCACCTCCCTGTGGGGCAGGGCTCCGGGACCTGCAGCCTGCCATGCCCAAGCTCCCCCACAGTGGGCTCCAGCGTGGCCCGAGCCTTCCTGACAGGCACTGCCCCTGCTCCATGGCGTCCGGTCCCATCTACCACCCAAGGGCTCAGGAGTGCAGGCGAATGGCGCAGGGCTGGCGGGCAGCTCCGCCCCCGGACCTGGTGCGGGATCCACTAGGGGAAACCAGCTGGGCTCCTGAGTCTGTGGGGACTTGGAGAACTTTTATGTCTAGCCAAAGGAGTATAAATACACCAATCAGCACTCTATGTCTAGCTCAAGGTTTGTAAATGCACCAATCAGCACCTGGTATCTAGCTCAAGGTTTGCAAACGCACCAATCAGTGCTCTGTGTCTAGTTAATCTGGTGAGGACTTGGAGAACTTTTATGTCTAGCTACAGGATTGTAAATGCACCAATCAGCACTCTGTGTCTAGCTCAGGAATTGTAAATCTGCCAATCAGCACCCTGTCAAAATGGACCAATCAGCTCTCTGTAAAATGGACCAATCAGCGCTCTGTAAAATGGACCAATCAGCAGGATGTGGGTGGGGCCAGATAAGGGAATTAAAAGCAGGCTGCCTGAGCCAGCAGGGGCAAACTGCTTGGGTCCCCTTCCATGCTGTGGAAGCTTTGTTCTTTTGCTCTTTGCAATAACTCTTGCTGTTGCTCACTCTTTGGGTCCGCACTGACTTTATGAGCTGTAACACTGCGAAGGTCTGCAGTTTCACTCCTGAGGCCAGTGAGATCACGAACCCCCCACTGGGAGGAATGAACAACTCTGGACGGGAGGAACAAACAACTCTAGACGCACTGCCTTAAGAGCTGTAATACTCACCGTGAAGGTCTGCAGCTTCACTCCTGAAGCCAGTGAGACCATGAACCCACCACAAGGAAGAAACTCCGAACACGTCCGAACATCAGAAGGAACAAAGTCTGGACACACCATCTTTAAGAACTGTAACACTCACCGCGAGGGTCCGCGGCTTCGTTCTTGAAGTCAGTGAGACCAAGAATCCACCAATGTGGGACACAGCAGTTGCTCCAAAGAGAACACATAAGAGATTACAGAGAAAGGATTCAAGATGGCAGGATACTTACAAATCACTTAAGGTGAAATGTTAAATCTCTCCAAGATTTGGAATGACTGAATAAGGCAACTATCTAGAGATGTCTTCTGCAGTTTGCAAAAGAGTTTTGGAACCATTGTTTTCCTGTAGCTGAATCTCTTCTGCTTTAGGGTTTGGGTTTTGACCTTTTACCTTTATTTTTTAAATGTGGCTTTTCATTTTTGCTTCCATTACAGGAGCATCTGTGGCCTTCTCTTTTTTTTTTCTGACAATATGCTCCTGGTCTCTGGCAGTATACGCTTCCCTCTGGGATGGAAGCTTACAGCTTAGGTGAAGGGGACTGCCATGATGTCTATGTGCAGTGTCTGATGCTTAATGAAATTGATCAGAATGGCACCATTCTAGTCAATTTCACTCACAGCAGGTGGGAGCAAGAGACACATTCCTATGTGAGGCTCAGGTACTGCTCTTCATCTGTAGCTTCTAGGACTGACTGTACAGTGGATCTCAATTGAAAAAGAACACACACACACACACACACACACACACACAGCCTGCTGGAGTGCATCCCAGAGCAGACATGCTACAATTTGCTTCCCTTCACCCCTGTATATGCGATACAGTAAGGAATGGTGTATGTTCAACTGTAGGCTATAATTTTATTGATAGACTCTGATGACATTGTAAAATCCATAAGGGCAAAGAGCAAGTGATTTGCTCATGTCACTAGAAATCCAATACAAAATTACAGCCTTCATTTGGAAGCCTTTTTGGAACTTTTTTTTAAATCAGTCATGATGCATAGTTATCAATACCTGTATTTGGACCATGATGACAAGGGAGAAGAAAAAATACCAGGCCAATTCTTACACAGAAAATAAACCCAAATTATTGAATTGCACAAGGATACCTGATTTGGCAAATCTATACAAATTGTGAGAGAGATGACAAGCAGAAAATGAGAGCACATTTGACTCATTTAACAAAGACTTCTATAAGCATTCATTTATATGTTACTGTGTGCTAAATGTAAACATGTAAAATCAAGTTGGGTCTATTATATTGCACACTACAAATGAGCTCTTGAACAATTTGTACATGAAAGGCAGGAATAAGGAAAATAATGTCTCTTTATTCTATGTCAATGTGCTCAACTTTCACATGAGCTCAACAGCTATTGTGTGTCCTTATTTGTATAGCGGAGATTTCGGTGAGGAGGGTCTTATCCCGCTGGAGAGCCACCCATCTATGCGTTTTCAAGGCATCAATCTAACAGATCCTCACATGAGCCAGAAGGCATACAGAAACATGTCAGTGACAAGGAAGCTCTACTACTCAAAAGAGAGAGATGGCCTGTTGAAAAGTAGAGTTTGCTTCCCCTCTGTGGTCAGGATACTTACATCCTTGTCACGAGGGAGCTAACTGAACTATCCGAGACAGGTCCATCTTTGCCGTTCATGCTATCAGTGGGAGGTCCTGGATGCAACTAATGTATGTATAAAAGTGATTTGTAAGCAGACCTAGAATAAAGAAATTGAAAGACAGGTCATCTGGAAAATAAGTAGAGCTAATTGGGTAGGTACAGATGGTACACATAGGAGGCTATTCAATGTAAGGAAAAATATGAGAAAACTCACAGTTATTCATTAGAATCAAATACGATCTACAAGTCATGGGACCTTAGCGCTGGCCGAACTCTGCCAGTAATAGCTGTGTGACTTCAAGACATTTAATTTCTCTGACTCTGTGTTTCTTCACCTTAAAACAAAAGGATTTTTCTCTAGGACATCTTTCCATTTGAAGATCCTATTTTCATTTGTGTTTTTGTCATACAACATTAGTGGAACTACTGGTCGTGTGTCTGGCGTACATTAAAGTTATTTCCCATTTACCTACAGTTTTAGAGTGGTGTGTGATCCCCCATTGTTCAGCCTTCAATAAGTAAATATTCAACCTGACTTTCCTTCAGGATCCAGTGAGTTTGCATGGTTATTAAATTCACAGACAATACATGAAAACTGGCTTAACCAAAATCACTGTTTAATAACAGTAATATAATTTCAGCTCTACGCTTTGAAAGGAAAGCCTAGAACTGATAAGGCAGAGCACAAAACAGTTACTTTTAGTTAATAACAAATATCAGCTGTGTAAGCTGAAAGAAGAGTGTGGTTTATACAAAGGTTACAGCTCTGTTTTAAACATTAAATTAAAACTCTTGTTTTGGCCAGGCATGGTGGCTCATGCCTATAATCTCAGCATTTTTGGGAGGCCGAAGCGGGTGGATCACAAGGTCAGGAGTTCAAGACCAACCTGGCCAACATGTGAAACCTGTCTCTACTAAAAATACAAAAATTGGCCGGGCGTGGTGGTGCACGCCTGTAATCCCAGCTATTTGGGAGGCTGACACAGGAGAATTGCTTGAACCCAGGAGGTGGAGGTTGCAGTGAGACAAGACTGCGCCACGGCACTCCAGCTTAGGTGACAGAGCAAGACTCAATCTTGAAAAAACAAAAGAAAACAAAACAAAAAAAAACCCTTTTTTAAATTTTTTTTTTTTTAGCTAGTGGGTGGGAGAGGTTCAAATGATGGCAAAGCTTGCATTTTTTAAGTATGCCTGTTTACTCTCTATGTACAGTATAATGCCTTGGAACATTCCTACAGAATGTTAAACATCTGGATCAAGCAATCAACAAATACACGTTGGTTGCTGTGTGACATCAAGCTAAATCCAAATCAATCAATTATCTGTATCTAGTCCACACCAGTACTTTTGACCATGGGTAGATACAAATGCAACACTCCTATTTGTTCCTAAGGTAAGTCATATTTATACTAGTTTTTAGTTTGCAAAGCTGATCCTAAATGCTATAGGCTGATCCTAAATGCTACTTCTTCCTAAATGCTATAGGCTTAGATCTCATGGGGTGGTTCAGCCTCCAACTGACCAGAAAGCAACTGCCATATCACCTCCAACCCCTATTTTAGCCATTGAAAACCTGAGCGGCCAAAGTAGTGGCATGACCATCCACATTCCACCAAGTGACTCATGCCTTTTTTACTTATTCAGAGAGACCTGACTACTGGAATCGTATCAGATAGCATTATTCCTCTCATTGACACGTAATCGAATTTTTTGTTACTAATAATACTTATTATAACCACAAACAACATAAGCAGGTACCAGTGTATAATATCTGTAATTACTATAAATACTAAGAAAAAGGCAACAAACCATGTGGACCACATGTTAAAAGTGAAATCTCCTTTCAACTGAAATACGTAGAGAATTTTTAATAGTATAAACACTGTTTAAGTTAATTTCACTTGATCTTCTGTAGACTGAGGCAGCACATTTTGAGTAGCTTATGGTCTTGATTTGTTAGTGAGTAATATTTCGCTCAAAGTTCCAAAAGGCCCAAACTCTAAGTATTCTAAGTTTGGGTAAATGAAAGTGGAAGCTTAGATGGAAAAGAGTACAAAAGAAAAGGAAGCACCTTTACAAAGAGCTATTATACCTGATAGGCTCCATACAAGACAGTTGAAATGTGAGCTTCAGTATTCAAAATAGAAAGGATACAATCATATGTCTGGTTAACTTACAGGAAATAGTTCCAGAGACAATTTTACACTAACTACAGTGATTTGGGCAATTTTTAAAAATAATACCAGCCAATTTCTCTCCATTATACTCTGCTGGCAGAAAATAAAACATTTTTCTTTGAAATGATTGCCTTTGGTTTCGTTAAATCATGCATTCTGTCAACATGTGGTCACCATTTTTACATGATCTTTCTGCTTCCCTAGAAAAGAATGAATTCACAGTCTGAACCCTGATATAAATATGTAATCTTGCAACTGTAAAGGCTTCTTCTATTACTGCAAAATGAAGAGATAAGAAATAGAAGTGATATCAAAAGAAATGAAACAAAAAAAGGTGATGATGACCAAATAAGTATAAAGCTCAGCTTCTTGCATCCACTCCATAGCCAGATGAAGAAAATACTCATGTTAATCATTTTTCTTACTGTAACACAGAGATGGTGTGAAATTCATTTCAAAACACTAATATTTGAAAATACATTTGAGAACCCTATTTGTGCCAAGAAATACATTCTAGCAACTTTCTGCAGCTAGCAAAAAGTTAGAGGAGCAGAGCCTATAAAATAATCTTAAAATAAGTAGGACATTATCTTGTCATTAAATACTTTTCAGATAGAATTGTAAAATGTCTGAGCTTTAATTGCTTCCACTCACTATGTCATCCTCTAGGATGCAGATCCTCATCGCCATCCTCCAGCCTGTACATTTTTTAAAGCTAAATTATTTTGCAAATGAAAAGTGTAGATACTTGTTTTGTTGCTGCCCCCATCTGAGTATGTGTTTACTGATATGGCAAAAAAGTACTTCTTTCTAAGATAATCACTTCAATATTGACTCCCCTATGGCTGGGATTTCCCGAAGTGGGCACTCAGAAAGCATTCTTGACTATGTTGGTTTTCCTTTACTCAATAGCCTGGGCATATATTGCATCTCAAACCAATCTATAGTTAAATAAATAAATAAAATGTTAAGCCTAAAAAAAAAAAAAAAACTAAGACACTTCAAATGGGTAAAGAAGAAAACTCCAGATGAATCTTTAATTGGATAAAAATATAAAAAGCCAAAACAAAGCCAGAACTTTTATGTATAAAAGAGATAGCAAACCAACGAATTGTTTTCACTGATTAGGTCTTCCACTAGGGTAATCCTAGAGATTCACCCATCCAGAAAACAAGCAGTAACAATCTGATTATACTTAGAATGTATGTTTTCAGGGTATAGGTATAAGGGATAGTCATTTGTTCCCATCTCTCATATAGTTAACAAGTAAGCTAAAATGTAAAACACAGAAGGTGCCACTTAAAAGGGAGTTCCTACCACTGAGTAGCAAATGGGCTAAAACTTTAGATAAGATTTCAATTTAGGTGACACTGTGCTTGTGATAGAATTGTCTACGTCTCGACAGTGCAATCACCATGTGAAGAGTGAAGAGCAATTAATTCAATTTCTCTATCAAGTTAAAAACTCAAGTTACTAGAACACAATTTGAAGTTTCAACTAACCAGAATCATTTCTGTACTCCTGACTTCTTTTAAGTTCCTTTTGTTTCCCCCCGTATGAAGGTAAGATGCCCTATTTTCCAATCAGATATGTAATGATAATGCCATGTCATAAAAATATCAGCATCACCACTCACTCCATAAGAAGAAGGGGTTCCAAGGGCCAAGCTGGTGTTCAGCCAACACACTGGCAAGACTCACCTTCCAGCATCCACTCTGGTGTCAGTGCCTGGGCTATTCCAGCTGTTTGAACTCATACCACACCTCAAGGCTATCTGGTTCAACAGAATGCTTCTTAGTTATTACACCAGCTGTTTTTTAAAACATGTACAAGACTTAAAGAACCCATGGTTTCTTCCTTTTACGGTCCTTTAGCCAATGTTAAAAAAGAAAAAAAGATGTAATTGAGGACTTAATATACTTGGTATTATGCTAATTAATTGCTTCATATTGTTTTTCTCATTGAATCTTTAAACAATCTTATGGTTATCTATCTACAGGTGAGGAGGGCAGGGAGGTTTAAAGTGATCACATAATTTGCCTAAGGTCTCCTAGTCACTTCAGAGCCAGAGTTCAATGTCCAAAAGTATCTGACTACAAAGTTCTCATGCTCAACTACCATGGACAACACCTGGCAGGTGAGCTGGGAAGAAAGGATGTGGAAGTTCTAACCATTGTGGGCACAGGAAAGTTACTTTTAAATCCCATGAATTACTGTTTTTAAAAAAACCACACACACATCAGCAAATTTAAAGGACTTTTTATGATCTCAAGATTTGATTTGGGGACCTAGGATTGTTGTGGTAAATTTGAGAAGTCTTATTTTTAAAAATTTATGAGTTCAGTTTACATAAATTTGGAAATAAAATAACATGGTTGCTTTGTGTGGCCATCTGCCACTCTCATAAGTATCTCTAGCTACAAAATTGAGAACACTGGTAGTTTTGCTATGGAGTTAATTGAAGCCTTCCTAAGAATAATTTTAATTCAGTATTGAGAGCCAAATTCTGCTTTATGATCCACATTTCACATAGTATTTCTGAAAATTAGAGCAAGCCAGGGTTCTGATTGGCATTTTGAAATCTTTCAGATTAAAACATGATCCAGCTGTTTTCTGCTATTCATCTAGTGCTGATCTCCAGATCCATAGAAGTGTAGTGGTTTTCCAGGTGCAATGTGGCAATGACCTATGACTCTCAACAGATGAATGGCCCCTAAGAATTTAGACCTTCTATCTTTATTGCCATCCTATACTGTCACCTAATTATAATTATTTAGTTGCTTCTACTTGTATTTGTATAATAAAAAATGACTAAATGCTCAAATTATAAGATTTAACACATACTTGGTTACAGAGTACAAAAGTATGCTATATATAGCCTTAAATTAATATTTCTTCCCAGCAGTTTCTTCCACCCAAATCATAATACTTTATGATATCTACTGATAAATGCCTTTTTATTCTAAGTGATACCCCAGAAAGAACTCACCTTCGGGTTAAAGGCAGCAATTCTCTTTAGACACAGTAAGAGCACACATTTGAGAGAGTAACACACATCTGTTACTGTTCTCTGTTCAACTTAATTCAACCCTTGTCTCTGAAAAGGGTCACTTGCTTTGACTAAATTTCATTTTGACCATTTACAAAACGAGAGGTAGAAGATTCACCAAAATTCTGAATACATCATGTGACTTATGGAAAGACAATAAAGAATTGTGGGGGGGAATCCATAAGCATCTATTATCTTCATAACAAAAATAGCACTGCTATCTATTAGCAAGAGAGGAGTGGGAAGTGAACAAAAGTAATTATCCAAGCTGTAATTTGGCCTTGACAACAGAGTCGGGCCTCTTCGACTAAGAAAAGGCTTTATACCGATGGGCGCTAAAGGACAGCACGACACATATCATGTTGGCAGTGAGTAGGGGGAGCGCCAAAACAACATCCTAACTGCAGAAGCTGCAGCACTCCACATGCAGCAGAGACATACAGTCCCACAGATGTGTCTTCTGGTATGACTAGGAAGGCATGTGGAGTGTGTGGTAGTTAATTCTGCCACAGGCAAAATTAAAAGACACACTTTGTTCATTTTCTTCACGTTTTCTTCTTTCGACTCACTTGTTAACAGAATGGCACCCAATGTGAGCTAAAGATTCAATTCAGAGTATTTCACTTCTAAATTAATCAACTATTTTTGTGAAATTGATTTTTAAATTTAAACAAGACAGAGAAATATAAAGGCAAAAACAAAATCACCCTAGCCTCTAAAAGCTCTCTATCCCCAGAAGCAAATATTGTGGATTGTTTCTTGTGTACCTTCCCAAAAGGGATGTAATACACTCAAAAGTGCAAACTACATATAAACCTCACCTTATTTACAAGAATAAAGTCATCTTCTTGATACTGTTCTGAAACTTGCCAATACATGTCTTGAACTTCAGGCATCATTAGCACATACAGATCTAACTCAATCTGTTTCAGCATTAGACAATATTTCATTGGATGAATATTGTAATTTATCTGTCCAGATGTATAGGGAAAAGTATTTTCAGCTGTTTTTAAACTTTTAATATTACAATAATACTGAAATAAGTATTTCTATGCATTTTCTTGATGTATTATAGGAGTGTGTCAGTAGAGATGGAATTAAAGGGTAAAAGAATATACACATTAAAAAACAACTAATGCAGAGTAGCATCAACTTTTAGCTCAAAGGAGGCAAATCCCTCATCCGATTGTGAGAAGAAAATGTTTGGGTTTGGCTATTTGACAATGACCAAAACAATATAGACTCATGAACACACTTATATGTATCGATAATGAAAAAGTTGCATTTGTATTCCTTTTTTGCTTATCTTTATAACAGAATTCTACATGTTAAATCTAATGTTTGGGGAATTACATGGATTTATAATACCCCTCCAAGTATTTAGATCTATAAACTAATTCATATGAACGTTACAAAGGGATGACACATTTTTAAATGTATAAAAGTTGACCATATATGACAGAATCCTGCTATACTCTAATGGCTTTAGGCTTTTTGTCACTAACATGACTTCTTATCTCAGATATTGTGCCTATTGTGCCTACAGTCCAAAAGGTCACTGCACTTAGTAAAATATCCTTCTTTTGTGTTCTAAGGTATTTGAATTCTGAAGCTACACAACAATAATTAATTTCCATTCCACTTAGTGCTCCCTCGTGGGACTTACTCAGTGCATAGTCCAGGTAACAAAGGCCGCCATGGGGCTTTCTGAGCAGCCCAATCAAGGTGAAACATGCACTATATCCCCAAGTGCTTAGTACACAATGCATGATTTTGTGAACCTCTCACCTATAGCGTATGAACAAGTCTCTGAAAACAGAGTGTGAAATTCAAACACCTTTGTCCTTAAAACAAGCTCTGTCTGCCAAAAATGCTCTCTTCTGTGAACTTTTGGCACCGATAGGGCAGAACACAATATCCTTTGCATTCAGCTGCCAAAGACATGAAACTGGGTCCAAAAGGGAGAAGCCAGGTAAATTGTTTAGGCCTATGACCTAACATTCTCCTTGGCATAAAAAGATTCATTCTTCAGCCTTCCAATAAGTGTAGCCAATTGGAAAGGCGATAAATTCATTATTGTGCAACACTGTGAATAATTCAGATAAACAACTTCCAATACTTAAAATCCTGTTTTCTCATTCTTTAATTTTTAAGGCAAGCAAATAAAGGCTATTGAGGAACAATCTGTCTCAAAATCTCTGAAAAATTACCACTGACTTATTTAAATTTTATCTTAACACAAATTAAACCAGAAAGGAAAAGACAAAGTAACCCCAAATATCTATATTTTTCAGTTGAGTATGATGACTGTTTTTATCATAACCCACAGTAATTCTGTAAAGATATACAGGAATATTCATCTTATCGCTTCCTGAAGATTGGGAAATGATAGCATTTCAATGTAAAAAAGTTTTACGGTATTAAAAAAGTTGCAGATATAATCTTCTCCTGTAACAATACTAAGTCCTGAACTGAGCTGAAGCTCTAGGGTGATTCAAGAGTCAATAGGTCTGACATGTACTGACTGTCTTCTATACAATGAAAATCTGGTAGGTACTGGGGATGCAATGCCACATGTGTAGGAAGTTTATAATCTGGTAAGGAAATAAAAGACAATTACACAAATAAATGTTACAACACACCACACGGTAAGTGCTATAAGAGAGGCACAAAGCAATCACTCAAGATGGACATTTGTGTCTTCAAATAATAGGACTCCAATTCTCTTTAATAGTCCCTGTCTTCATTCAAGCATTCATTTATTCATTCAAAAAACACTTATTACCCAGGTCAGTGATAAGAAAAACTCATACAGTGAGAAGCAGAAGAGACAGAGGCCGTGACCTTCTGAAATCTTCCTTTCTGTGGAAGAGACAGCATTAAAGAATGACACAATAAGAGAAATAATAAAGATACTAATAATAGTCATAACTGACATTTATTCAGTACTTACTATATGTCAATGAGCTAACATGCTTGATGCATTATCTCAGTAATCCTCACAGCGACATTAGGATGCAGGGAGGCACTGAATTGGAATTGATATGGTCCATGGCATCAGACTGCCTGGATTTCAGTCCTCACACCATCACTTGGTTAGCTATGTAATCATAGGCAAGTTACTTAACCTCTCTGTGCTTCAGCTTTTGCATTTGCAAAATGGAATTAATATCATGTTCTGCCAAATTTAAGATGCAATTGAAAGTAAGGCATCCTAATTTCAGAGATGTTAGAGAAAATATATCTTAGATTCTACTAAATAAGGTAACAAGAAGAAGTAACAACATCCATCATATATAGTTGCCGTGATGATTAAAAATATATAAAGCACCTAGAAAACTGCCCAGCATAAATATTTAATAGATATTAATTTAATAATCTCTTAATTTAATAAATACTAATTAAAATTATTTTAAAATATTCATTCCTTCCCTTAGACAGGTTCTCACTATGTTGCCCAGGTTGCAGTGCAGTGGCTATTCACAGGTGCCATCACTGCACACTATAGTCTCAAACTCCGGGCTTCAACAATCAACCTGTCTCAGCTTCCTGAGTAGCTGGGACTACAGGCAGGCATCACCAGACCTGGCAGAATTATCTGAATTTTTAAAAAGGGAAACAAGTATACAACAAACCTACATAATTTTTTTTAAGTCCAGAGCTATCAGAATTTGCATTAGAAGATTACTCTGGAGCAGGGTTCAAAAAGCACTCCTCATGCACAATAATCTTCCAGTTACAACTAAAGAATGATCAAGAGAAATTACCTACATAAAGGTGTGGAGAAGAGCATTTCAGGTGAGGGTAGTGTGCATGAAACCCCATGGGCATGAAGAACAAGGTACAGACAAAGATGAGAACTAAGCCAATACAGCTGTGGAATGGAGAAAGTCAGAAAGCAACAAGATTGATTGACATTGGAAAAGTGGCCACAGGCAAGACCCTATAAGGCCTTACAGACCATTCTGAGAAAGGATGCTCTTTATTCTAATGGTAGTAAGAAGCCCCAAAGGGCACAGAAGGTGGATTTGCATTGTTTAAGTACTAGGTGGAGGAAGACCAGTTCAAAGGGTGTTGTGGTAATTCAGGAATAAGGAAATCCAGGATGCTGGTTTAGACTAGAGCAGGAGTTCTCAACCTTGTCTCAATTGACATATTAGGCTGTTTAACTCTGTTGTGGGAGCATTTCTGTGTATTGGAGGATGTTTAGCAGCATGCCAGGCTTCTACCCACTAGATGCCAGTAGCAATTCCCCAGTTGTAGCAGCCAAAAATGGCTCCAGAGATGACTAAATATTCCCTAGGGACAAAACCATCCCTAGCTGGGAAACACTGCACTAGAGTGATCTCAGGGGAGTTGCAGAACAGGAGACAGATTCTGGACACACTAAACAAAAAAATTCAACAAGGCTTGCTGATGAATTAGGTGTGGGATAAGGGAGTGAACAGTAGCAAGGATACAGCCCTATCCAGGGTTTCTGATTATACAGCTGAACAAGCGGTGATACCATGCACTGAGACAGAAAACACTGGAGGTAGATCAGACTCGAGGGAAAATCATGCGTTCAGATTGAAACTGGCAGAACTTGAGCTATCATCATGACATGGCAGTGGTCCTGATGTCAGGAGATCATTTGGATATTCAAACTAAAGCTCAGAAATGAAATCTGGTGGCAGGGTAAAATAATTGAGTCACCAGCACAGAGACGATAATTGAGTGTATCTATGCAAAAAGATTCACTTTAAAAAATACTTAAGTTGTATTATTTCACTGTTGGTGACCAGACCATCTCTACAATAAAATCATTACAGCCCTCAACACTATAAGATAATGTTTTACAAAATTATTTCAGTATTTTCAACCAAACAGGTCTCCAAGTGCACAGGCACAACCAGAGTGTACTTATACTGCAGAGATAGAGTTAAACAAAATGTAACTTAAAAGTATGCATGGTTCACCTCAATCAAGGATGCTTTTTTAAAGGCTTAATTTGCAAAGCAAAGTTAAAAATGAAGATCAAGAGTGACTTGTGGGTGGGGGGGAGTCTACTTGTCTTTTTGCAGAAATCAGTGATCTCCTAACCCAGCATCTTGAATTATATTCTGATTGCAACTACCTTGACTGAGACCCAAGCATTTCTCATCAGAGCTCAGATTCACTTGATTTCTTCCCTTGTGGTATATGATAAACAGAAGAAAGTTCAATTCTTAATCACTTCAGGTCTCTAGAATTTTTGAAGACAAGAGTCCGTGACCTTGGGGATTGCTTACTGGTAGGGGAAAAAAAGCCTAGTCAGTTGTATTATTTAGCTCTCAAAGTCTTAACCTTGACTCACAGGTTCCCTTACTGCCAAAGGAACCAAAAAGAACATCTTCAGTTCCCGAGTGGCTCTCTTCTGAAGATTTTCCTTGGCCAGTATTACAATAAGGTCCACTAAACTCCTTACATGAGAGTGAGTGTAAGGAGTCTGTGTGTGTGTGTTCCTGTGATTTTCCAAGAAATTCTCCATTCATTCAAGAACACATTAGCTAAATTTTAGGCAACACTATTTTGCAAGAATAACAAGAATCCTTACCACCATTCCTATATAATACCTAGGGATAATGCCAGATTAACTCCAAACTGAATATAAATATAGGAGGAAATGATATTTGATAGGATCCACTTTGGAAAGCATGATTCGGTTTCTCATTATGTGGTAAGTGTACCCTGCAGAAATTTGAACTACTTAGACTTTAAAACTATAGCCATTTTTCATTATCTGAACATTAGCATGGATAACACAAAATAGGATCTGGCTCTCTATGTGAAACCTTCATTAAAATCACAAACATCCTGACTCTCAAGGAGAAAAAAGGCAGATAACGCCACAAATATGGGATAAGAAAATAGGTATTCATACTGAGGAGGAAAATGGTCCTTACATTTTTTTCTGTATTCTAGAATGTACTTTTGTTTCTGGTTCTTCCACTGTACTAGAAGCATTCACGATAAGAATCCTGAAAAGGCTAGCAGGATAATCTTGATTGGCTAAATGATCCAAATAAGCCCTTTGTGGACAAGAGTGGAGAGGATTGGATCACCCCAGGGAGTATTCCTGTTTCATTCATTCATTCATTCATTCACTGAAAGAGTTCTTAAAGCCAACTGGATAACAGTCACAAGACATTTGAGGATGAATAAGACATGATTTAAAAAAAGAAGATAGGCAGATAAGACTTTCTTCTAGGTTTCAGGCTGCCTATTGGCCTTCCCTATGTTCATGTTACACAGGAACGTGAAGCACCAAACAGATCTCCATCTTCCTGAGAAAGCTTGACTCTCCCCACTGGTGCCTATCCTTGTTAAATGGCACCACCCACTGTCCACATCAGAACACCGGGCAGCATCCTGTATTTCTTCTTCCCCTAACAATCTCAGATATCCAGTTACTTACAGGTTCTCTTATCCCTCCTAAGAATTTCTAGAACCCAATTTCTTTCCATCTGTGCTACTACCTACTCTCAGCCACTATCATCTTTTCTGAACTACTGCAATAACCCCCTAACTCCTTTGTCACCCCATTTCACTGGCCCCGCTCTAATCCTTTCTCTTCACTGTAATCAGAGAGATCTGTCTACAGTGTACCCTTCCCAAGTCTCTCTCCTACTCAGAAACTTGTATGGCTTCCCATTGCCTTTACCATAAGCTCCAAACTCATCAACATGTTGTAAAGGCCTCGTATGAACCAGCTCCTGCTCCCTTCTCCATTACGCTCCTTGAACTGATACTCCAGGCACACCTAAGGAGATTGGTCAGCCCTTCTCTCACTCTCCTCTCCAGGGCCTCTCCTGCTAGCATCATCTCCCTCTGCCGCTTCCCCCTTTCCAAAATAAGACCTGCCTATCCTTAAAATCTCCCCTTAGCAGTCGCTTTCTCTGGAGTCTGCATCCTGTGTTCTCCCAGGAGGCTCTGTGGCATCGTGCCCCTCCCTATTCAAGGACCAATCACAGAAAGCTCAAAGTGCGTGTTTGACTTCGTTCCTGACTACGGTATAAACTGGCACAGATGGCAGGAACTATAGCTCAGGGTACTGCCATGCTACGAAGGAGAAATTATGGACAATCTTACCTCAGGTCAGATCAAGGAAGGTTTCACTAGATAAGTGGTCCTTCAGACAAGTCATTACAAATGAGAGTTTTCAGGGATACTGGCTGTCCTAAGTTGGGTGTCTTGGAACAAAAGGGGCATCACGAGGAAAATGAGAAGCCATTAAGCAGTATGGCAATTTATGGGGCACATGAATATGGCTTGCAGATAGGAGGAGTGGAGAAAAGCAAATGAGAGTTCAGCAAGGATCAGACAATGAAATTCCCTTAAAAGTCGTCCAACAGATTTGGCCTTCATATTTAGGCAATGACAGGTCTTGAAAGGATCATAAGCAATGGAGAGATATGACTTTAGAAGGTCACTCTGAATTCCATGAAGACTACAATTACAAGGTTACCAGGGAAGTGGAAGAGAGGGAATGACCAGGACACTATGCAACATTTCAGTTGGGAGATGTGGGTCTGTCTAGGCAGACACAGGCGTGATGGAGAAGAACACCTGCACAGGACAGCATTTAAGCCCTGGGCTTAGATTAGATGGGCCAGCACAGAGAACACAGAGCAAGACATGAAAAATCCAAGAACAGATTGTTTCAAAAAAAAAAAAAAAAAAAAAAAAAAAAAAAAAAAACAGAGTCTCACTCTGTCGCCCAGGCTGGAGTGCACTGGTGTAATCTCAGCTCACTGCAACCTCCGCCTCCCAGGCTCCAGCAATTCTCCTGCCTCAGCCCCCCAAGTAGCTGGGATTACAGGCGCCCACCACCATGCCCAGTTAATTTTTCTATTTTTCGTAGAGACGGGGTTTCACCATGTTGGCCAGGCTGTTCTTGAACTCCTGACCTCAAGTGATCCGCCTGCCTCGGCCTCCAAAAGTGCTGGGATTACAGGCATGAGCCACCGCACCCAGCCCAAGAATGGATTTCTAAGGTACATCGAGAGTTAAAGAAGTAGTGGCAAAAATATGAGCCCTTAAGGCAACTTAAAGGAAGGTGGAAGGATACCCAAAGAAAGGCGTGACAAGAGTCCAAGGAAGAGATATTTTCTTGAAGAAGGGAGTTGTCCACAAAGCCAATAGATGAGAAGAAAGGCCACTGGCTGTTGACAATTCAATGTCACTGCCAGAAGAATTTCCCTGAAGGCAGAGCATGAGAGACAGTGGGAACGAAGCCTGGGTACTATAAAGAAGTGGAAATTTTCAGCATTCATTGCTGTTTCCAAAAAATTGGTTATGAAGGAATAGGGGACATAGGGTAAAGAGGTTGTTTTAATGATGGGGAGGTTTCAGCCAGCCCACATGCTGGTGTGAAAGAGTAGAGAGAAATGATGAAGGACCGGCTGGGCAGAACCAGAACCCCATGTGGACAATCACAGGTTGAGTATAAAGGAAAAAATTTGGAACCTAGAGTGAAAAAATATGTTGACAATAATCACACCCTTGACAGAGTCAAATTTAAAGGCAAGAAAAATAAATGTGATTATAATAATAAAATTGTACTAGCAAATGGTAATTATTATCAAGTAATACAACTATACTTTCATGCATTTTACTGCTGCACTTGTTTTATTTGTTACAACCTTTAAGTTTGTTTTAGGGGTTAAAATAATGCACTTTATTTAAACCACCTATAAAATAAATTATGCTATGAGATATTGCTTAATTTGACATAACTGAAGAAATACAATAGAAAACAAAGGCAATAGAGAGGTGCCATGGAGAAAAGCGTTCAAAATTCCAAACTACTTATGTATTTCATACTACTATGTTTGTTGAACATCCAGAAAAAAATATAAAATGCATTTTTAATATTAAACTATTACATTTAAATGCACAGGCCATACATTTAAAATATATACCTAACACACAATTGCCATCTTCTTTAAAAGATTCCATATGGTTTATTCATTCAATTGATTTTTCACTCGTCAATCATTTATTGATTACCTATTGACTGCTCTGCATACAGCCTGGTATCTAGGGGAAGGAGGAAGATTTCAAAAAGAAAGATCCTGTCATTAAATAATGTACTATACTATAATACTTGGAGAAAAAATCATATATATGTGGGGTAGCCAGCAAAGAACCACGGAGAAACAAGGAGAAAAGTGAAAAGCACTGTACACCTTACTGTCTGTGTATCTGTCAAAATATGTGGAAAGCAGTGGTTTCAGACAGAAAAGCATTTCTAAAGGGTTGTTTGCTTGCCATTTACATGCATTTATTTACATGCAGTAAAAACTGGCTGACAGAAAGTAGGAAGGGGCATATTGCTAAGGAGGAAGCTGGAGAAAAATATGCATGAGCCCAGATGAGAGACATTCCACTTTTGTCACTTGAATTACTAATCACATTTTATAGCAGCCATTTAATTTTAATTTTTTCTTCACTGATATTAAATAAAAATGTTAACAAGTTACCAATTAGGTAACATAAAAGCATTATGGGGCATCATCTACCCAACTACTAAATTTTTCAAAGATAATATTTGAAATTACATTAACAATTTCTTCCAGTTATACTGCACAGATATGAAATCACAGCAAAATTCTCCCTGAACCAAAAGACAGTAAATTATCACATGGGAGGGACTCATTGTCCCACTATCTCACTATGCAAAATTGAGACAGTCCCTTTCCCAGTTTTATGCCTGTTCTTCATATTTGAACCCATACAATCTGATTATCTGACATCACTTTCTTCTTTTAGTGCACAATTCTTATTATGGAAGATTTCAATATTCATGTGAATAACTCCACAAATACCTCCTCACTCTGCCTGATCCCCTCCTTCCTCTTTTCCTTCCACAAATATACACAACTGCACAATACTTCTATTATACATCTACTCATTCATACTAACGGCCTTGTCATCTTTAAGCACGGAGTTTCAGATTTATCTAATTTGGTTCCCCAGCTGTCCAGTTTAAAATCACCACCTCCTCCAATGGTATCTCTCCTCATTCATAAAAACATAAATGCCATATGAGGTGAAGTCAAAAATTGAAGCAGTAACATCAGATAATCCTTCACTGGGGAGTGCTCTAGTGACTCTTCATGAAATCAGAGTGGTGGGAAAACATGAGGTACATACAACATTTCTTTATGATGGACCTGCTGATCAGGACATGAAACTTCCCAGCCTTAATTATATAGCTATATGTTCATACCTCCCTATTCAATCTGTCATCACTACTGAATTCCATAAAACATTTCACCACCCCTACCGTGTCTTTTTTTTTTTTTTTTTTTTTTTCTTGGAGACAGTGTCTCGCTCTGTCGCCCAGGCTGGAGTGCAGTGGCACGATCTCTGCTCACTGCAAGCTCCGCCTCCAGGGTTCATGCCATTCTCCTGCCTCAGCCTCCTGAGTAGCTGGGATTACAGGCGCCCACCACCACGCCCAGCTAATTTTTTGTATTTTTAATACAGATGGGGTTTCACCGTGTTAGCCAGGATGGTCTCGATCTCCTGACCTCATGATCCGCCTGCCTCGGCCTCCCAAAGTGCTGGGATTACAGGTCTGAGCCACCGTGCCCAGCCTACCCTGTCTTTTACTTAAGTATTAAATCATGAACGATTATTTGCAACATTAAGAACATGTGCTTTCTTATTAACTACAAGGATTAACCACATTGCTAATAAAAAACGCAAATCTCGGGTAAAATGATGCTTTCCTTCTTCTCTTATTTAACAGAATGGTGCAGTGATAGTGCCACAGACAGGTAAGTATAGGATGCTATGGGAGAATTCAGAAGTGGCGAACCAAGGCTTGGAAAACCTGAGAAGACTTCTTAATGGAGATACGATAAGAAAAATAAAAAACAAAAAAATTTAAGGCTTTAGCCAGGTACGAGAGTTGGGGTAGGAAAGGAGGTATCTTAAGACACATTT
The DNA here is from genome assembly GCF_000001405.40 of Homo sapiens. Classification (NCBI taxonomy): domain Eukaryota; kingdom Metazoa; phylum Chordata; class Mammalia; order Primates; family Hominidae; genus Homo; species Homo sapiens. The sequence goes on along the minus strand of NC_000014.9, from coordinate 33,180,166 downwards.
CACAGTAACATTTTAGAACATTAAAAATAAAATATATTGGGTTAAAATAGTGTCATCCTTACCATTCAAAATAGGGATATGCAGCTATTTCTGATGCTGAGAAAAAATAGAATGCCATTTTAAAAATTACATTCAAATATACCCGAGGGCAAACATCTTCCTGGGATTCATGTGCAATTATTTGTTGCTTGGCAGAATATCTTATCGCTAGCCAACACACCTGTTCTATCATAATATTTACATAGAAGAATCACGTTGTTTTTCTGAAAAATCTTGGTGACCTCTAAAATGCCTCAGATATTTAGAAATGACAAAGACTGATTCATGTGCATTTAGAATTTAAAAGATTTTCTTCATGCCCTTCTTGGATTTCCTTTAATATTTTTCCCATCCATTCCTCCACTCTTTACTGTGTTTCAAGAGTTCTGAATTGGGGAATGTAAAAATATAAAAATGACCCCATCGTATGGTATTCTTTAGTTGTAGCCACTATTATTCCTCCTTTGCAGTGTTGTAAACAGACTTATGATTCAGATCAGACATAATAATATAGATTTAGGAGTAAGAGGCTGAAGTCAAGAAGAAAGGGACTAAAACCCCTTGCTTTACAATTTACTAGCTCTAAGCTTCCATATCCTCATTTGTAAAATGAGGATAATATGAGTTGTTGCCTTTTATTTATTAACAGTTGTTACTTTTTAAATGAAATAACATAGTAAAAACACTTAGCCCATCACCTAACACCTAGTAGAAACTCCTTAAGTATCTCTAACATTATAGATAAAATTGTTTTTGTTTTCCTTAGAGACTAGTTCTAAAAATTTAAGTACACAAATATTTTGATGCACTCAAATAGTTCAGACTCAAATGTTTTGTCATTTCTCATAGAGAAAAGCCTTGCCAAAGGAGGCATCCAAAACAATCTTGAATGGTAGTCTAGCAATATACAAGACTCATATAGCTTCCTCTAGCAAACCAACTCCAACATCATATTAACATAATTAGACCAAGTAGGATTTATCCCAGTAATTTAAAGGTGCTTCAAAAATGTAATACACCACATTGGGAGAGCAAAGGGAAAAAAAACACACGTGATCAAGTTAACTGATTTTTTTTTAAAAAAGGTATTTGACAAAAGTAAACATCATTATTTAAAAATTCAGATAAACTGGACTAAAAAAGGATTTTCTACAACACGAAAAAAGACATTTGCAAAAAATGTGCAGCTAGCATCACACTCAATGGGAAGACTGAAAGCTTTCTCCTAACATGAGAAACAAGACAGTATGCCTACTTTTACCAATGCTATTCAACATTGTACTGGAAGTTACTGATAGATCAGTTTGAAAAGAAAAAGAATACAATATATCAAATTGGAAGGAAAGGAGTAAAACTATCTTTGTTCACAGATGACATGATCCTATATAGAAAATCCCAAAGAATCCATAAGAAAACTACTAGAGCATCTAAATTAATTCAGCAAAGTTCAGGGTTACAAGATCTACAGACAAAAAATCAGTTGCATTTCTCTAGACTGGGAATGAACACTGCAAAAAAGGAAAATAAAGCAATTCCATTTATAACAGCATCTAAAAGAATACCTAGAAATAAATTTAGCCAAGTACATACTTGTACATTGAAAACTATAAAATATTGCTGAAAGAAGTCAAATTCAAATTCCTGAGAAATTTATATTATTAAAAATAAATGGAAAGACATTCCATGTTCATGAATTAGAAGGCTTAATATCGTTAAGATATCAGTACTACCCAAAGCAATGTAAAGATTCACTTCGGCCGGGTGCGGTGGCTCATGCCTGTGATCCCAGCATTTTGGGAGGCCGAGGCAGGCAGATCACGAGGTCAAGAGATCGAGACCATCCTGGCCAACATGGTGAAACTCCATCTGTGCTAAAAATACAAAAATTTGCTGGGTGTGGTGGTGTGCACCTGTAGTCCCAGCCACTCGGGAGGCTGAGGCAAAAGCATCACTTGAACCCAGGAGGCAGAGGTTGCAGTGAGCTGAGATCGCACCACTGCACTCCAACCTGGCGACAGAGCAAGACTCTGTCTCCAAAAAAAAAAAAACAAAAAAAATTCACTTCAATGCCTATCAAAATTCCAACATCCTTCTCTTGGAGAAATGAAAAAGCTGATACTCAAATTCATATGGAAGTGTAAGGGGCTCCCAATAGCCAAAGCAGTCTTGAAAAAGAACACATTTGAAGGAGTTGCACATCCTGATTTTGAAACTTACACCAAAGGTACAATCATCATAACATTGTAGCATTTGCATAAGGATAGACATATAGACCAATGGATTAGAACTGAAAGTTCAGAAATAAACCCATACATCTATGGTCAATTGATTTTCAACAAGGGTACAAGTCCACTCAATAGAGAAAGACTAGTTTCTTTAACAAACTGTGCTGGAGCAACTGAATTTCCACATGCAAAACAATGAAGTTGGACCTCTACGTCATAGCAATTACAAAATTGAATGTAAAATGGATCAATGCTAAAACTATAAAATTCTTAAAAGAAAAACAGGGGAAATCTTTAGGACCTTGGATTTGGCAGTGGATTCTTGGATATGACAACAAAAGTATGAGCAACAGATGCAAACAAAAGATAAATTGAACATCATTAATATGTAAATCTTTTTTTTTACATTATAGGATGCTATCATGAAAATGAAAGGACAACATACAGAATGGGAGAAAATATTTGCAAATCACATATTAGATAAGACTATAATATTGAGCATATATAAGGAACTAAAACTAAATAATAAAAAGATACCCAGCTCTTTGGGAGGCCGAGGCAGGTGAATCACGAGGTCAAGAGATCAAGACCATCCTGGCCAACATGGCGAAACCCTGTCTCTACTAAAAATACAAAAAATTAGCCGGACATGGTGGCAGGCATCTGTGGTCCCAGCTACTTGGGAGGCTGAGACAGGAGAATGGCATGAACCTGGGACGTGGAGGTTGCACCGAGTCGAGACTGCGCCACTGCACTCCAGCCTGGCAACAGAGCAAGACTCTGTCTCAAAGATAATAATAATAATAATAATAATAATAATAATAATAATAAAAAGATAAACAGCCTAATTAAAAAATAAAGAATCTGGATAGACACTTCTACAAAGGAGATATACAAATAGCCAGTAAGCCCATGAAAAAGATGCTAAGTATCATTAGTCATTAAGGAAATGCAAACCAGAATTAGATCTCACTTCACACCCATTAGGATGGCTATGATTTAAAAGAAAAAAGAAAAATAACAAGTCTTGGCAAGGATATGGAGAAACTGAAACCCCCATACATTGCTGGTAGAAATATAAAATAATACAACTCCTATGAAAAATAATTTTGTGGTTCTTCAAAAACTTCAGCACAGAATTACCATTTGACCCAGTAATTCCACTCCCAGGTATATCTTCAAAATAATGGAAATCAGAGACTCAAGGAGATATTTGTACGCCAACATTCATGCAGTATTATTCAAAATAGCCAAAAGGTGGAAAGAACCCAAGTGTCCATCAACAGATAAATAGATAAACAAATGTGGCATTTACGTACAGTAGAATATTATTCAGCCACATAAAGGAATGAATTTTTGATACATGCTACAACACGTAAGAAATAAGTAATTCATGCTAAGTGAAACATGCCAAATACAAAAGGACAAATATTTTATGAGCCCACTTATGTGAAATAACTAGAACAGGCACATTCATAGAGAGAAAAAGTAGATTAGAAGTTACCAGAGGGTAGGGAAAGGAGGGATAAGCAGGGAGGGGCTATTGTTTAATGGGTACAGAGTTTGTTTGGGAGTCATGAAAACTTTTGAAAATAGTGGTGATGGCTGCACAACACTGTGAATGTAGTTATTGCCACTGTATACATAAAAAGGTTAAATGGCTAATTTTATGTTATGTATCTTTACCACAATAAAAATTATTTTTTGAAAACTTATATAGCTAGTTTTTTTGGTTGTTCTCTGGCATAATTTGCTAAGCAGGCAGTATTTGACTTCACTAATAGTGTATAAATCACAACTATGTTTATATATTTCTAGATGGATAATCTTAAGACCTATCTATTTCCTCTTAAAATAGAACAGGTATGTAATAAAATTGAATGGATGAACAAGAAAATTTATAAATACATGGATATACAAATGATAGCAAGCATTTTTAAATTCCTGCCTCTGGATAAGTAACTTTTGATTTTTTTTGTTGTTGTTGTTTTAAAACCAGACTCAAATACTATTGATTCAACATTACTAAAGAATTTATGATTTTATTTTAGGAGACTGAGTAGATAAAAAAATGATAACGTTTTACAAATACTAGGATACTTTAAGATGGTTTGTTGCTAATGATTTTTTTAAAAATAATACTCTATTGAATATGATGTCATCCCATTGGGATGTTGTATGTAAAATCTCAATAAGCCCAAGGCAACCTTATGAATTAAATTTACTTTTTCCACTCAACTATTCAATAAAAATGAACATACCAGCATGTATTGCCACTTATTAAAACACAAAACACCTTCTTAGAGAAGCAGATTTATCACTATGCCAAAAAGTTAATTGCTTGTTACAATGTGTTAAGGAAAAATGTGAATTTTTCCTATAACCATTTTAACACTATGAATAAAAATCATTTAAACACCGCTTCCATTTTATTTTGTTTCCTTTTGAAACAAGTAGGTATGCTTCCTAAAAAAATTCTCTGCACAAATTTCAGTTTTTATTTGGTCAATATAACATTGAGGAAATGGAGAATAATTTTGTACAAATTTTTTTAATGGTAACATTTTCAGGAAAGGACAGAATAGCAACTCTGCCCGTTCTAAAAATCCACAGAATAGGTATTTCACTTTATGAAAACCCTTCAAATTCTAGAAAAGTACAACAAAAACTTTGTCAAAAACATTTTTGGTATAACCTTATACAAGTATTTTGCCTTTACCATCTACATTTTAAATTATGTCAATCAATATTTTTCAAACACATCAACTGAATTACAGTTTTTCATTGGTTCCTGGATATAAAAAAATCTTTGCGTAAGTATCAGAGAAAAAAAATACAGTATTCTTAGGACATATCTACAATACTAAAATATCTGCAAAGATACCATGCTTTTCCTCAATGTTTGTTTCCTTTTTCATATCAACCTACGAGTCACATGAAATGGACCAGTGAAGAAACCAACGAGTCTGGTGAATGGTTATGACCATGATATTCCATATGTTTCCCTTGCATATTCTCTCCATGGAATCCCTGACACACCACTTCAAATCCCGCCATCGCTGCTAGCTCTCCATCCTCCCATCTGGCTCTTCCAGCTGTCCCTAAGGCCCTCTTCATCTCCACTCCATCCTAAAATTTCTTCCTTGCTCCTATTCTCTTTAAGTTTTAATCATTTCCTTATCTCATTTCAAGAATCTCCATTTAGCCTCTGACTTATCTCTAAAGATCAGGTGTGGAGATTAATAGACTCCTGGACCAGGTAAGCAACAAATGAGTTGATGGAGCCCACTAGACAAGACCGTGAGTGAAAACGTCAGGACGTTAGCAGAAGCAGGGGACTAACTGGACCCACATGTTAAAATGAGGCACAACAGACACAAACATTTACTTAGCTCCTTGGGAGTTATTTTGCAATAAATGTTGTTGAATTAATGAATGAATGCATTCATGAATAATCTATGGTACTATTTTCAAAATCATTCCAGGAATAAGTTATTTGGCACACATGCATCTCACATTAGAAGTAAATAGCTACCACAGTGATAACCGTACCAAGGCTCTTCCACCTGTAATGTGAGATACTGCAGCTTTTCAAGTTCTGTATTAGAAACCTGTATAAGCAGTTCAGTAGTCCTGTGATTCTTTTGGTTAGGGGCATGCTGATGTGCAGTGTATAGGATAAGTCATAGATGGCTAAACGGCATCTGCACCTCAAAGGCAAAGGAAGAGACTACTGTCCAAAATGAGGACAGAGTACTCCAGGGCTTATAGACTATTAATTAAATCAATTAGTTGTAAAATTTTAAAGAGAGCATAACACACTATTTCTATAGTAAATCATGTCTGCAAAAAATATGCAAACCTCTGAAACCTCCTCACATAGGAACTTGCTTCGAATATTAAAATATTAGGAAAGTCTGTCTGTTTTTTTGTTCTGGTTACCAGTGGATTCTGTAACTAATTTCTGTCCATTCATCAAAAAGCATTTCCCAATGTTTGTAATTCTCTGACAATCATCATGTTTTAATACAACAGAATTACCAGGAAGAAACATTTCCTGTTAATTATTGACTTAATATAATCTTACATACACTACTGAATGATATTGCTGCTACAGTTTTTGAAAGGGAGGTTAAAACATCTGACTTTTATAAATCAAAAAGACACAAAAGGTACAAATTCATCAGAGAATAAAAGCACATTCAAAGTATAAAAAGTCAATGCTTTCCTAGAATTCTTCCTGGTTAAACATACACTGTAATTATTTTCCTACATTCAGTATGATACCATTGGGTGCTAAATATTCATTCTTGAAACAAACCTGAATCAGAAACTATTCATCTTTTTTTCAAATAGCTGACATGTTGCATAAACAGAAAGTTTTTGTAGTTTTTTTTAAAAAATAAACAATATACCATGTGAACTTTGATTTATTATGCAATTTATCTCTATCTCTCTCTGCTATATATAATTCAGAACCAAATAGGACAGTTCCTATACCATTGATATTTTCCAGCTCCTTTTGGCTTTAAGGCTATGATCATTTTTAAATGTTTCAAACATATGGCATACATTTATCATTAATATTATAGTGGCATCACTGCTATTTTAAACTCTAATATCTGGGAGTTCATAACTTGGCACATAAAGCTTGCTAGACAATAATGATGAAACTTAGCTTGCTACAACCTAGTTTTGCAGTAATTTTTCAAGAGAAAAAAATAAAATGCAACCTAATGATTTCCAAGTCCAAAGATATTTGAAATATTTTTAAATAGTTTCATACACATTTGAAATTACAGCAACATATAAGGCAGGAGTTATTAGGCTAATCTCTTTTCCTCAATTTTTTGTTCAAGTTATAGAAAATCAAAAACAAGCAATTCTGAAACATTAAAACTTCTCATATTGATTAGAACAATATGTTCCTATCTGTTAGGAAAATAAAGTTTTTCTCTCACTAAAATTACATGATTAATAATAACCTCCTTTTTCAGAAATTTAGTAATCACATGTAACCTAAACTATTACCAAGACCTATTAGGCAAGTGGTCTATGCTAACAAAATCAGATATAAGTTTATTAAGTAGACAATTTTTGATATAAGATGAACTTCATTTAACAAATCTACTCTGAATGCAATTTTTAATTTTTTTTTTTTTTAAGGCTGGGTCTGGCTGTCACCCAGGTTGGAGTTGGAGTGCTGTGGCATGATCTCAGTTCAGCGTAACCTCCGCCTCCAAGGTTCAAGCTATTCTTCTGCCTCAGCCCCCCAAGTAGCTGGGATTGCAGGCATGGACCACCACACCCGGCTAATTTTTTTATTTTTTGTAGAGATGGGTTTTCACCATGTTGCCCAGGATAGCCTCGAATTCCTAAGCTCAAGTGATCTGCCTGCCTTGGCCTCCCAAAATGCTGAGATTTCAGGCCTGAGCCACCGGGTCTGGCCAATTTTTAATTTTTATATGCAATCTCAGAAACTGTTTTTCATTCAGTCAACAGCTTTTGAATGTTTGCTACATGTCAAGAGTTGCAGCAGGCTAGGAATACAAAAATGAGCAGACTCTACTCTCAAGTACAGGCATACTTCGTCTTACTGCATTTCGCTTCACTGTGCACCACATATACTGTGCTTTTTACAAATGGAAGGTTTGTGGCAACCTTACATCGAGTAAGTCTGTCGGTGCCATCTTTCCAACAGCGTGTGCTCACTCATGTCTTTGTGTCACATTTTGGTAATTCATTCCACCTTTCAAACTTTTTCATTATTATTATATCTGTTATGTGGTGGGTGATCAGTGATCTTTGATGTCACTGTTACATTTGTTTGGGGGTACACAAATCATGCTTATATACGATGGCACACTTAATAATTGTGTGTGTTCTGACTGCTCCACTGACTGGCTCTTCTCTCTCATCTCTCCCTCTCCTCAGGATTCCCTATTCTATGAGACATAAAAATATTAAAACTAGGCCAATTAGTACCCCTGCAATGGCTTCTAGGCATTCAAGTGAAAGGAAGAGTCACCCATCTCTCACTTTAAATCAAAAGCTAGAAACGATGAAGCTTAGTGAGAAAGGCACGTCGAAAAGCAAGATAGGCCAAAAGCTAGGTCACTTGCACCAAGAAGTTAGCCACATTGTGAGTGCAAAGGAAAAGTTCTTTTAAGAAATTAAAACCACTACTCCAGTCAGTGAACACACAAATAATACGAAAGTGAAAAGAGGCTTATTGCTGACAGGGAGAAAGTTTTAGTGACAGAAGATGAAACCAGCCACAACATTCCCGTAAGCCAAAACCTAATCCAGAGCAAGGCCCTAACTCTGTTCAGTTCTATGAAGGCTGACAGAGGTGAGGAAGCTGCAGAAGAAAAGTTGCAAGCTAGCAGAGGTTGGTTTATGTGGTTTAGGGAAAGATGCCATAACATAAAAGTGTAGGGTGAAGCAGCAAGTGCTGATGGAGAAGCTGTGGGACAGGCTGATATTCTTATTAGAAGCTAAAGCAGCTGGTAACTTTAAGTGGAAGCCAACTCTCATTTATCATTCTGAAAATCCTAGGGCCATTAAGAATAGTGGTAGAACTACTCGGCCTGTGCTCAAGGAATGGAACGACGAAGGCTGGATGATGGTACAATGTTTACACCATGGTTTATTGAATATGTTAAGCTCACAGTGAAGATGTACTACTCAGAAAAAAAGATTCCTTTCAGAATATTATTGCTCGTTGACAATGCACTCGGTCACCCAAGAGCTCTGATGGAGATGTACAAGGAGATTAACACTGTATTCATGCCTGCTAACACAGCATCCATTCTGCAGGTCAAGGAGTCATTTTGACTTTCAAGTCTTACTACTTAAAAAATGCATTTCATAAGACTGTCACTGCCGTAGGTAGTGATTCCTCTAATGGATCTGGGCAAAGTCAGTTGAAAACCTTCTGGAAAGGATTCACCATTTTGGATGTTGTTAAGAACATGTTTGATTCATGGGAGAAGGTGAAAATATCAACATTAACAGAAGATGGGAAGAAGTTGATTCCAACCCTCATAGATGACTTTGAAAGGTTCAAAACTCCAGTGAAGGTAGTCATTGCAGATGTATGGAAATGAACTCAAGTTAGAAGTAGAGTCTGAAAATGTGACTGAACTACTGTAATCTCACGATCACACTTAAACAGATGAGGAGTGGCTTCTTATGGATGAGCAAAGAAACTTGTTTCTTGAGATGGAATTTACTCCTGGTGAAGATGTTGTGAACATTGTTGAAGTGACAACAAATAACAAACTTAATTAATAAAGCAGCAGCAGGATTTGAGAGGATTGCCTACAATTTTGATAGAAGTTTTACTGTGGATAAAATGCTATCACATGGCATCACATGCTAGAGAAATCTTTAATGAAAGGTCAAATCAATCAATGGGGAACACTTCATCATTGTCTTGTTTTAAGAAATTGCCACAGCTACCCCAAACTTCAGCAACCACCACATGATCAGCCAGCAGCCACCAACATGAAGGCAAGACCCTCTACCAGCCAAAAGATTATGGTTCCCTGAAAGTTCAGATGATTGTTCACATGTTTTTAGAAATAAAGTATTTTTAATTAAGACATACGCTTTTTTATAGACATAAGGCTATTGCACCCTTAGACTACAGCATAATGTTAATATAACTTTTATATGCACTTGGAAACCAAAAATATGACTCGCTTCATTGTGATATTCGTTTTATTGTAGTAGTCTGGAACTGAACCTGCATTATCTCTAAGGTATGCCTGTAACTCTCAGTATAGAGATAGTTTTGTGTTTTAATTCATCTACTCACATTTAAGAAATTATCATAATGTACACCCCCTCTGCCCAGCAAAGATTCCATAAAGCATGACTTTCCAATTTTTGTAACGATGTCAAAATCCCCAAACCACAAAACTACAAGATGTATCAGAAGTTATGTACTAGGTCACTTTTCACTGATGTAAAGAAAAGTTTTCCAGATAAGCTGCTGTGACCTTTCGAGAATCAGGTACCGACAAGGTCTCATAACTCAGACTAAAACTTAGGTCTGATTTCAATTCAATACTATTTTCTCCATGTTAAACTGCTTTCATACAAAAGCTTATGACTATTCATTTGCATAACACAGAAGCAAAACAGCATTTTGAAAACCTGGCAGCCTTTCTGTACTCATAGCCCGCCAATTTCTTATTTACAATCCCCTCAATTTTAAATTTCTGTGATTAATCATGTAATAAAATCCTAACAAAAATGAAATGCATTGGTAAAGATTTTAAAATACTATACACTTTATTCACTCTCAAATTTGTGTTTGTTTTTTGTTGAGACAGAGTCTTGCTCTGTCACCCAGGCTGGAGTACAGTGGCATGATCTCGGCTCACTGCAACCTCCGCCTCCTGGGTTCAAGTAATTCTCTTGTCTCAGCCTCCCAAGTAGCTGGGACTACAGGTGCCCACCACCACTCCCAGCTAATTTTCATATTTTTAGTAGAGAGGGGGTTTTGCCATGCTGGCCAGGCTGGTCTCCAACTCCTGACCTCAAGTGATCCATCTGCCTTGGCCTCCCAAAGTGCTGGGATTACAGGCATGAGCCATCGTGCCCGGCCCACTCTGAAATTTGGATTGAAACAGTAGTTCACAAAAAAGAAAAAAATTTAAGTATTAAAAATAAATGATGAGATACTCAGCCACATGGCAGTGAACAAAATGTGGCCCTCAAATAAAAGAGTATTTAGAAAAAAGGAAAAGCTATCATTTTGCCATCTTGAAAACAGTGAAAATCCAGGTCATCAATATTTCCATTATGGATTCTTATGCCACTCCACCAGAGGGCTACAAAACTCCCAACATGCTCTTATGAAGTGTTCTACTGTAGATTACAAGTATTATTATACTTCACTTTTCTGAAAGCACAATTTTGAAAAACGAATTCATCTTTTAAGAAAAACTTCTCATATTACAATGTATCTTCAACTCATAGCACAGTGGAAAAGCCAAGAATTTACCAAAATCCTCTTTGAGAAAGACTCATTTTTTACTTTCTTAGAGCTTGAGCCTGCCTTGGAGTTAAAGGTTACAGAAAAATCATGGTTGGGACAGAACAGGAGGAAGGCCAACGTGAATGGCAGAAGGAAGAGGGGAAGAGGGGAAGAGGACATAGGTGTGAAGCGGGAAAAAGGAAGCTAGTAGAGACTGAAATGAAGGAATCAGGAGAGGAAAATGCAGTCGGGAAGCATCCTTGGTGCCTTCTGAGTCCCACTAGGGAACTCTACACCAACTACAGGGATAGCAAAGAAGGAAATGAGGGGCAGTCAGCTTTGAGAGCTATCACACAAGATCTTTAGGGGCTTGGGGCTCCAACTCGGAAATGTCTCCAAGTAAGCTCAAAAGCTTTTTTAAAAATTACAAATTACCTCCTCAGACAGGCCCCTGTCTTTGGAATGATATGCTTCTCACAGCTTTGGTTGAATTGTTCCATCTGAGGATGTCTGATGGGGTCAGATGTCTGGTGTCTTTGTTTTCCTTGTGACCTTCTCTGCTCCTCAAGGCAAGGGAGAGTCTTGTTTGCCTTCGAATCCCCTTTAGTGCTTACAGCTGTTCTACACACAGTAAGCTGTCTCTAAACTATACTAAAGAGAACTGCAACTATCCCAGGATTTCTCAGAGTTTACCCCAACTTTAATGTTTGCATATTTTAGAGGCAAATGTGCTCCAGGTGAGCACCTCAGCCTGTGAGTCCAAGCTGAGTTTCCGTATGCAATCTTGGGCTCTTCCGTAGCTACGCTGCTCCCAAATGCTCAGAGAGCCCGGAAATCAGTCAAGAAAGTAACACATAAGGAAAAGAATGCTAAATGAAAAAACAAGCCACAAAAACTAGGGAAGGCTGTCCAACCCACTTTTGAGAGATGCACAAGAAATTCAGAAGCTGTGTGTGAGACTTATTTAGGCGATCGCATCTCCCAGGGCATGGAATTTTCCTAAAGCTGCCTCATTCACTTCTAAGCAAGGATTTTCGTTATTGTAAAGTATGTCATTCCTTACATGGGTATGCTGCAAATATCATCGTAAACTTCCCATATTCTAGAATAACCATGTCTGGAAGTTGGGTTTTTCCTCCCAATGTAACAGTTAGCAACGGTATCTCTTATTATTATGTGGCATGGTGAAGGAATTGTGTTTTGCCCAATTCCTCTGTTTCTTAACATATTGCTCACAAATGTGCATTCAAGAATGAACAAATTCTGGACCTGAGATCTCATTTATAAATACATAAATCTATATTTATCAAAATTAGTATTATCTTCTATTTTCAGAAAAATAATAGTGTAATACTCAATGAATACAACATTTTGTAGTCCACACATTTCAGATTTCAACAGCACAAATGCATGTAACACAGGATTTGGTCTTCAGCAGATTGATTTGTTAATTTATCTTTACAATATACGTGCGTGTGTGTGTGTATGTGTGTGTCTGTTTGTGCGTGTGTGTATTCATTCCATTTTCCATTTTTGCTAGCCCACTGGTTCTTAACTTGGCTTGAATACTTTGAGAAATTGCCCTGGGAGCCCTCTCTCTAGGAGATTTGAATGTCCTCAAAATAAATTTTTGCATACACTTTGAGAGAGTTTATAGAACTCCTGAAGCTGATCACGGCCCCTCTGCTAAAAATCTGTGTGGTAGAGTCAACTGCATTGTCTTTTGTTGCTAATAAACAAAGTCTGAACTTTATATACAAGTTTCTAAACCTGCTAGAATTCTACCTCCTGTGTAGATACCAAGCGTTGTAAATTCTATTCTTCTAAGAGGCTCAAGGAATCATATTATGAAATATTTCCAATATGAAAATAGCCCTTGTGAAGCATGCAGAATTAAAATGATCTAAACCATGAGAATGTCTTACTTAAATTACATTAAAAGGAAATCCAGGAGCAATATAGGAAAGTTTGGTAAGAAAAGAGCAGTGCCTTTAAATCTCCACTTAGTGATATACTAAGTGAAATGAAAAGCATTCGCTTTAACCTTAGTTAACCTTTTCCTCCTAAGCTCAATTTCCATACTCTTTAAATGTCTTAAAATTAGTGAAATGATTTCATTTATATTTTTTCCACCCCAAATTCATCAGTGAGGCAGAATCGTATGTGTACCATCTCATCCCATTTGCCATTCAATGGAAGCCAGCACCATAATTCTGCATCAGAAGAGAACTGAAATGAAGGCAATATGTCTATCAAAGGGGCCTTATATTAAATGTAAATTTCTTTACTCTTTCAGATAAAAGGGCAAATTATTTAATTCACTTCAATTCAGAAAGCATTTATGGAGAACTGAAAGGCATTGGGCTAGGATATGGAGGGAAAAAAATACAAAGATCCTTGGAGAGTGCCTGCCCTCCCTCCAAGAGTCTACCTCTTACTGAGGGAGACAGATGTGCATGCAAGACAGATGTGAATTCAAGGCAGGGTGGAATGCAGGCTGTAACTGAGGGACATACAAAGGGAAGAGATACTTATGTTTATGGAAAAACTAGAAGGCTTCATGGATGAGGCACCATCTGAGTTGGCAGAAGGATGCAATCTCTGCTGCTGGGGTCAGGAACGGGGAAGATGCCCACAGAACAGGTAAGACCAGCTATGTGAGGAGTAAAGCCCAGTGCCAAATGAAAAGGTGAAGCCCCTTGATTAAACATTATTAAGGATTTCAAGAAGATGACAGCAGCAAATTGAACCGAGGGGTGAGGGGGAGGCTTCTGTGAGTCACAGGTCGCAGGCCTATGAGGCCGGTCTGACAGCTTATCAACAGCACAGCACCGACAGTAGTGGAAGCACATGGGGAGGCATGGTGGGGAGACCACAGACTATCCTCATGGGGCTGGTACCTAGCAACTTTAACCATCCAATATGTGAGCGTGGCTAAAGAAGGCAGGACAATTCTTCTATTAACATAAGGGAGCACTGCTAAACACACTTTGGGGATGGGGGGACACAAAGTACTCACAGAATGTGGACAGAACACAGAAATCAAACCAACATGCCCCCGAATATGGATTCCTATAAGCCTAGGCTGAATAAGTTTGCTACAGAAAGTGTCACTGTGCTTGACAGTTTTGTTTGGGGGAAGGAGGAAGTGGGGTAAATGGTGCACATTCTTTCAAAATGTACCTTCAATTAAGCTTAAAAAAAAAAAGAGAGGAAGTAAGTTTTAAACTAAGCAAAAAAACAGGTATTTACATTTTCAGTGAGGCATAGTATTTCAAATCTCCTGCCTTTTTCCTTCTTTCAACAATAAATTATCAGCCAACGCTCTGATAAGGCCTCCAGATTAGAAATGATTCTACTAACCTTGTTTTATTTACACTACGCATGCTTTGAGTTTTACAGTTCAGTAGTAGAGCTGCACAGCTCCTCACATTAGCCCTGAGGCTACTTTAAGCTCCAAGCAGGCTGCTCTGTAAGCATTGGAACGAATTCTCTGTAGTCCCCATAGAAATCCCATGGAATGCAGTTTCCTGCTGGTTTGTTACACTGCATCAGAATAATGATAATACGAGGATAGCCTACTAGATTATGCAATGAAACAAAACTCACACACCATAGTCCAACCAGAGAGACTTTAACCCTTCTCTTCTGCAATTAAAGCTTCCTACTTACATCGAAAGGTTGTTTGTGAATAATCCCACCAGGGAGTCAACCCAACAAAAATAAATCACCCAGTGCTTTCCGACAGGCCGAGTCCAATGCCTGGCACCTAGTACAATAAGTATTTGTTGAACAAATGATGAATGCTGACCCATTTATCCTGACTGATTTTTCCTTCTGCCCCAAACCTGACTTACACTCTGCTAAACTTGTCTCTCTTACACCTTTCATAGAACACTTCAGTACATTTTTCTGCATTTTAAATGATTCCCTTATGAATTCTCATAACTCTATACCAAAAAGTCCTATTAAATTCATAATGGGATAACCATGAAAAGGGAAATTATTGTATTAATTCCCTGTCTCACCAGTACAGAAGGAAGTCAGTGAATTGACAGGAAAAAAAAAAAAAAAGAGTCACCTGTGCTGACACAGGAGAAGCAATGGGGTTCTGAGAGTCAGCACCCTGGCTCTGCCTCTTACTAGCTCTGGGTACCCAGGAAAGTTATCCAACTTCGCTGGGCCATGATTTCCTCATCAGTAACAGGAATACGAAAGAAATTTACTTATGTAGTCACTGTGAAGATTAAATGGGACACCATGAAGCACTTAGTAAAGTATCTGGTATGTGGCAACTATTCAATAAACACTAGTTGCCATTATTATTATTCCACTAACAGTAACTAGAATAATGTATCTCTGTGGTTTTTTTTTAAGTTGTTCATTTGAAGAAGATTTTAAAATATTTAAATAATATAGAATTTTAGAACAAATAATCATAAATTTAGAAGACAACTGGGAATATTTGTGACTGGTAAGAACTTCTTACACAGAAGATCTTATTTAAGAACATGATATAAGACCGATTACATAAAACAAACAGTTTTTCATCCTGAGACACTTAAGTTCTCAATTCCATTCTCTGATAAGTGAAGCTTCTTCACAAAATTGAAATCTTTATGAAACTTCTTTGTAAATATAAAATAATGTAGTTTAACATTGACTGATGGAATTTGAATCCAATGTTTCAATACTTTGCTGTATAAGAGAAAATGGTGATAGGGAAACCACTGGCTCTCCTTACAAGATTGTCTGCTTTAAAAGACATATCAGAGAACACATGAATTTTCACAAGTACTGAATTAAAATCTCACATCAAACCTTATTATCATTTTGAAATATTTGGCCGTGCAAAAACCAACAGGCAAGCTCTTTCTAAAAGAAGTCTGTCATTTCTTCACTGCCCATAACCCTGCCAGCTTCCCAATGCTCCTCTGACAGTATAATCAGTCAATTCAATCAGAGAAATTTAAAGTACAATGGTAATTTTCTCTCACTTTTTTCTTTACACTGTCAGTTCAAGCCACCTGCTGAAAGCACTGATGTGGAACAGCTCAGTATTAGCTCTGAAATTAGTACCAGTTCCCAGTTAAATACCTGGCACATTCGGCCTGGAATAAAATCTCTTAATGGCGTGTAAGCCCATCAGCAGAATTGGCACATTACTTAAACTAGCCTTTTTTCCAAGTCATCTGACCCTTGGTATAATGACACAAGACTAAAAGCAAGATGGAAAGGAAAATGGGTTCAAGGACACAGATGCAAATTTGAAAAAAAAAAAAAAAAAAAACAACAAAACACTTCTGCTTAAGTATTCTTAAGTGTGATGTTACTATGGCCTACTCTAAACAAACTTTTAAATTCAGTATCCAGCCCATATCAATAGCTAAAACGTTTAACAAGATTTAACTTGTCCAGCAAGTATTTTGTAGAAAGAAATACTGCATTTTAAATGAAAGATTCTTTCTCTCTACATATCAACTCAATTTGCGACTGTGTGCACATTTTTCGCATGTACCCTTAAACAGAAAGTAAAGTGCAATTACCTCTGCTATCTTACATGCTCCAGCTCTCGCCTGGCCTGCCAAGCTCAGCAAGCAGGTCTGTGAGCACTGACTGAGGCCGCCAGGATGAAAGGCATTTACTCCATCTACTCAGAGGGTCGTCAATGGACAACCTGTACAAGATTTATGCTTTAAATAATAAATGAACTAAACACCTTGAGGTAATTGGCTGTGTGAAGCTTCACAATAGCCCAGATAGCTTGTCTGAACAAAGCAAAATAAGATTAAATAATGAATGAGGGGTACAGAGATGTTAAAGCCAAACTAACACTGCACGGTTTTTTGAAAAAGTGAAAGTGGTCGGTGAGTCAGGTTGTCATGATGTTAAGAGGTGTCACTGGGACTTCCTTTTTCTTTGTCAGCAGTAATGATTTCAAAGATCTGTATTTTTCTAGATTCCCAGTGTTGAGTACATAGCAGCCAGTTCTGAGTGACAGAAGATTGTCCAAAGTCTACCGATGCTCAATTCCACTTGCAATTTATGAAGACAGAACCAACATCCGATGATGTCTGGAGGAAAAATATCAGAGCAAACTTTTGAAAAATAATGTTTCTGACACATGTACAGATTTAATACCATCTGCCACCACAGGGACCAATAAAGAGAGGAGGTTCTGTCAAGCAGCTTTCTAAGTCAGTTGCAGTGTAGACGCTCCTCTTGGGCCACTTTTTTTTTTGCTTGTTTTTAACGAAAAGTTGATGTTTGGTTGCTAGCTTTGGAGAGAGAGTAAGAAATTACAGTCATTGGACAGTCAAGTCACAAACATGAGAAGAATTTAAAAGGAAATAGCAACTGCATCCAGGCACATTTATAGATGCTAATTCCATCATAATTTGTTAATAAATTGTATTTAGCTTTATTAAATTTTTAAAAGATCAGAAGATTAGTCCTTATTAATTCTAAGTGTGATAGTGACCTGAGGCTATGTAAATAAAAATGCCCTCATCAGTGTGAAACGCATATTAAAGTATTTACAATTGTAAAGATATGATGCCTGGGACTTGCTGGAAAATACCATAGGGAGAAAAAAATGAAGTAGAGGTTAGATAAAATAAGATTGAAAAAATATTAATAATTGTTGAATGTAGATATGGATGCATGGAGATTCATTATTCTAGACTCTGTTTTGTGTTTAAAAATTTCTGTAATGAAAAGTTTAAGTAGACAAGTACCTGGCTGCACTACATCAACACAGATGACCGTATAAGCAGGTACATAAGGAAATGCTCTTTGCAGGGATTTGCAAAATTCATTCAGCAAATATACATCAGGGCCAGCCATGTGCCCGGCATGGTGCCTACTCTCTGCCAGGAATGAAGAAGCCTAGGACTCTATGCCCCATCCCTGGAGGAGTATGGCCTATTCAGGGCTCCTCTGATAACTGACAGCAGCACTCAGCTCTAAGACCTGGCTCCTCAGCCTTCATGGCTCAGGTCCTATGTCACTTCCTCACATGAGCCATTCCTATTTCCCACGTCTTATGTATGCAACATTCCTTATCCTGCTGGTCTCTACCTCAACCCCTACTTGTTTCCTTCAAAGTACTTATGAACATTTGTAATAATTTTACTTGGCTATACTCTCATTGACTATCTCCTCCAGGACAGAGCAAATGGGAACCTACCTTTCCAGTTCTCCCCTGTACCGCTTGGCTACAAGACAACAACTATTGATCTCTCTCATTATCCTCTTAAACCATGGAGGAAGCCATCGTGAGCTTGCTACTTTCATTTGCAAATAAATATACTCCTTTAAGACTACAGAACCAGTATTTGAAACATAAACCACAATGTCAAGTACAGTGATACCAATGTATTAGTATCCTCATTCTTCACCCTTGTTTTCTTAAGTATATAGCTTTTGTTGATTAGAAGACAGTGGTCAAGAACTTGGGCCTTGGGATCCAACATACCTGGGTTTTAACTTCTTTTCACTAACTGCATAAAGCTGGGCAAGTTAATTAGTATCAATGATTCTTGCTCTCTACATCTATAAAATGGATAGGTACTAACTAAATCACAAGGTTTTGAGAAGTCAAAAATTAATCATAATGTTAAGCAAAGTGCTTGGCACATAGTAGGCATTCAATAAATATGCTCCTTATCTCCATACTACTTCCTGCTTCTAATACCATCAGGAAACTATACAGAAAATATTAAAAAATTAATCTGGGTAGATGCCTTTAGACTTTAGATCTAAAGAATACTTTTAAATAACTTAATATCCCCATGCTTTCTAAGGAAAAGCTAAAGTCACTGCCAGAGCATGAACATGTTCCAGCCAGTACATGAACGCATACTAAAGTATCTGTTATCTTTCATTGTCCTCCACTGTTTGGAAAATACTTACATTTAACTCAACTTTGAAGCTGTCCAAAGTATGCTCAGTACCATATTTCTCCAATATGTGCTACAATGAAGACCAGTAAGACAGTGAGTGAATGAAACACATCAGTTGGAGAAACTCAGAGTTTTTCATTTGGAAATGAAATGCCCCAAAGGGAGAATGCTTGCTAGCCACTGGCCACATGGCGGAACTTCAAAGATAAAATCAAAACTGAGCGCTGACTTCACCCAAGTTCCTGCAGTTCTGTGACTTAAAACAAAAAAAAAGTAAATAAATAAAAACAGAATCATAACCTTTAGAAATAACCAGAATCTATACTTGAAAGATGGACAGAACCACAGACTTTTCTTTTTTTTTTTTTAATTATACTTTAAGTTTTAGGGTACATGTGCACAACGTGCAGGTTTGTTACATATGTATACATGTGCCATGTTGGTGTGCTGCACCCATTAACTCGTCATTTACATTAGGTATATCTCCTAATGCTATCCCTCCCCCCTCCCCCCACCCCACAACAGGCCCCGGTGTGTGATGTTCCCCTTCCCAGAGCCACAGACTTTTCTTTGGCACAGTTAATCAAACTATTAATTCAGAGTTTTTTCACTAAATGTGAAATAAAAATCACCACTTTTGGACCACTTATTTGCTATACACTTGGATATATGGTCTTAATATCTCAAAACTGAGTTAATAAACCCAAAAAGATAGATTTTATATTACCATGTTGAAGACAATGAAATTAAAACAGAGAAAATATAATTGACTTGATCATGGCATCACTTAAGAATAAGTGGAGAAGCCTGGATTTGTATCTAGGTTTTCTTATATTTAAAAAGATGTACTCTTATGTCTCATACATGACATTTTTATCCTGCAAAGATTGAAAAAAGAAAGTTTTATATGTAAGATATGTTATCCTTAAATTTGTCATAATGTGAGTTAAACTAGCTAGCTACAATGCTTTTATAATATGCAAAATATTGAAATAATTTCATTTTTAAAAAATTTAAATTTGTTGAGTTTAGTCTTAATTTAGAAAAACTTGTCTCTTGCAGTTAAAATCATAAGCCAGCACAGTCTTTATTCTATATGTAAAAAATTTTTCTTACGGGTGTTATAGGTAATAGTAAACTAGTAAAAGCTTGTTACAGGCCAGACGCAGTGGCTCACGCCTATAATCCCAGCACTTTGGGAGGCCGAGGCAGGTGGATCACGAGGTCAGGACATTGAGACCATCCTGGCTAACACGGTGAAACCCCGTCTCTACTCAAAATACAAAAAATAAGCCGGGCATGGTGGTGGGCGCCTGTAGTCCCAGCTACTCAGGAGGCTGAGGCAGGAGAATGGTGTGAATCCGGGAGGCGGAGTTTGCGGTGAGCCAAGATTGCGCCACTGCACTCCAGCCTGGGCGACAGAGCAAGACTCCATCTCAAAAAAAAAAAAAAAAAAGCTCATTATAATTAATACTATAATTAGCTATTCTGCACACAAATTTACACATGTGGGCGACAATATAAAAACATCTAAGGACAGTGATTTAAGTTTTGGACAAAAGAAATCTGAAGTTGACAAGATTCCCATAATTCTACAAGAAAACGTTTTACCTTGGGGGTTGTAGGTTCATTGGTAACCACAGCCCCCAAATTACAAGATGCCTCACGACTTACTGTTAACCCAATGCAAACTTCAGAGCTCACAAAGCAATTCTGGTGCATCAACTCATAAACAAATTGATAGTGTATGACAGTTAGCTTTAGGTAGTGGGTCTACATGAAAAATAAAATGGGGAATTACAGTAATATTTTGGTTTTTAATTTAATTTTATTTATTTATTTTTTTTGAGATGGAGTCTCTCTCCTGTTGCCCAGGCTGGAGTGCAGTGGTGTGATCTAGGCTCATTGCAATTTCCGCCTCCCAGATCCAAGCAATTCCCCTGCCTCGGTCTCTGAGTAGTTGGGATTACAGGCATGCGCCACCATGCCCAGGTAATTTTTGTATTTTTGGTAGAGGCAGTGTTTCACCACATTGGCCAGGCTGGTCTCGAACTCCTGACTTCAGGTGATCTACCCACCTTAGCCTCTCAAAGTGCTGGGATTACAGGCATTAGCCACTGCGCCCGGCCAGTAATTTTGTAAAAGAGTCTATCAAAACCTTAGCTAAGAACCCCTTTCCCTAACTACAATAATCAAATCCCCGACATGAATAACATGCTTTCAGTTTACCAATAGTAATTACCAGTAGACAAGTAACAGGGCCCCTCTTTAAAGCACCCCCATCTCGTGGCCTTTGCACTAGCTGTTTCCTCTTCTGGGACTGTTCTTTCACTGACTTTTGTTATGTACTGTTCTCATAATTTAACCTCTGCTGTCTTATCTTCAGCCCTTCCATGAACACCCTCTCTCTGCAGTACCTTAGAACTCCCAATTATTGTGCCTACACCATTTCCCTGTTCCCTTTTGTTTTTTAATACTTCTGCCACCTTTAGTTCTTAGGTTTTTATGACTGTTTACAAATTTCTTGTCTGCCCCACCCCACTGGAATGTCCATTAGAAAAGGGACATAATCGCTCATGTTCTGATTCTCTAGCTAGTACCCAGACCAAATATAGTGTCTTCCAATAAATACATACGCATCTAAACCAGTGGTCCTCACACCTCAGCATGTATCAAAATCATGTGGGGGGCCTGTTAAAACACAGATTTCTCAGTCCCACCTGAAGCTTCCAATTTAGTAGTTCCCAGGCTGGGCCTAAAAATTCAACTTTCTAACATGTTTCCAAGTAATACCAGTGTAAGGAGTTAACAAAGATCAACCACAGTTCGCGGTACAATCCGCTGGTGCTTTCTAACGGACTACCACTGCTCAACGATTTTGAATACAAGTAACAGATAGATTCCTTCCCAAAAATAAATGTAACTGTGAAATTTTAAAGAACATTTTTTTCCTTAAATTTCCATTAAAATTTCCAAGTCTAAGCTTTAAGTGCCTCTTTTACTTTTTACATGCAATTAGTATCATTATTACCAGCCAACATTTACCAAACACTAACTCCCAGTTCCAGACACTATTCTAGGCACTAGTGTTATCTTCATGTCATCTTCGTGTAATCTTCACAAAAACCACATGAAGGACTATTGACATCCCCATCTCACAGATGAGATGACTGAAGCCCAGGGATACTAAGTAGCTTGCCAAGGTCACTTGTAAGTGGTCAGGAAGACATCCAAACCCAGGCGACCTAGCTCCAGATCCTGACTTGTTAATAAACACAATTGTACCCGGTCTTACATAAGGTACATATTCCATGAACAGAGATTCTGGAAAGTTAATATAAAATATAGTCTTATTTCCTGAATCATGGATCACCTGAACCACAGGTTTTTACAAGCTCTAATTTTTTTTCTCTTTCTTGACCACAAAAAGAATGCATATAAATAATGAATTCTGTATTTATACTACTAAAGGGAAATGTGTGATTATACCTCACCACTAGACAAATACAAGGTATGTGTGTGATATATTGGCTGGCCCTGCCTGTGAACATTCCTGCAATGTAAAAATTTCTTCATCCAAGGACAGGTTCTTTCACCTTCCCATCTGTCCTGTGAATTTTTAAATGTCCGAGACAGGTGGCCTGTTGGAAACCTAAAACCCTGTGGGTACAAGATATGATTAAAATCTGATGTTAGGTTCTCTGATAAAGAAGAGTTCTGTGTTTAGGCAGGATTTTGTAAGTAACCTGCAAAATATGTCAAAGATAATTTGAACCTTATGTAACTAAAATCTCTTTAATTCTAGATCAGCATATGCTATAACAAACTTTTGTTTGCTCAATTTCCCCATAGAAAAGTGCAGTAAGGACTACATACCAATGCCATAAAGCATTAAAATGTGATTGAATAGCAAATTTTTGATGGTTTGAGTGCTATATTCTTTTTCCCCTTTCTAAATTCACTAGTGGTTTTGGAAATGATGTAGTCTGCTCTTCTTTTTTTAGAGTTCCTCTTGATTCTATCTTTGGTAAATGTAACTACAGTTCTCCAAGCAATATTTATAAATACTGCATTAATGGCAGTTAATAAAATCAGTTAATAATGCAAGCTGAGTTCCATAACTGCATATTACTGAGCTCATTGCGAAATATATTATTCACAAAAACCTTAACGATAATTATATTTCACCTAAATGCTAAGTGCACTGTGACTTCTCTGAGAACTAAAATGCAAAAGAGAAGAATTAAAAGGCCACTTCTCAGGAACCACTCCCCAGTTTATATTTGTAATGGAAAGCACAATACAATTTTTAAAAATATAATCCATTTCTTTCTAGAAAACATGGAAGGAATTTAATTGAAATCTATTTAGTGAGAGCTGAAATCTATGCTGAGTTTAAAGTTTGGCACAGAATACTAAGCAATGATCATGCAGATAATTAAAATTTAAAATGTTAAATGATTTATATTCTTGTAAATAATTAAGGGAATTTAAAAATCCAAGTAAGGAGGTGTTCGAAGAGAATATGTAGCACCAATCTATTGTCTAGAACAATAACATGTGAGAATATGTTACTTACATTTTGTTACTGGTAATGTCAGCAGCCTTTAATTTAAAAAGCTTTAGCAAACTTAATGAAATTAACCTAAATTGATTGGCATTCTGATCCAGCAGGTATTAAACACATCAAGGTAAAAACAAGGCCACTGTGACAAATTCAATAGATCAATCTGCAGTGATGCAAAAATCCAATAAATTGAAATTTAACTAAAGAATATTGCACAAATGCCAATCCCTGCTATGAAATAAAGGAGTATTCATTTGAGACTATATTACTTACTATAACTACCATGAAATCTATAATTGTGTTGTTTTTTGATTCTACACCCTTATACTGATTTCCTTCATTTTGAAAAGTTCCTATTTTTATTATTTTCAGTGCATAGACTTCATCACCTAGGCCTCCCCCTTGGTCTTTGTTCATTCAATCACAAATCTTCACTAAGTGGTGATCTATCTTTGCCAAGCAATACAGCTTTCAAAGTAAGTTTTTAAAACAAGTTTAAATTAATGAATAAATTGACAGAGGGCATCTGAAGAGAGAGTAGTCTCTTTAGAGTAGTAAAAATATGGTAATATTTAAAAATGCAGAGCATAGCACTATTATTCACTATTTTGATGTTGCTGGCATCCCCAAAATGGGAATCAATACAGAAAAATATGCCTCATCTACAACATGAAGACAGAGGGAAGATACCTACACAATTTCTGCTGACACACACACCTGCAGACCACACTCCCTACCTAGGATTAGCTCGGTGAACTTTGGCAAAGGGAAGAAACCTCTTCCATAGCTGTGTTTATCTGCTAAGGAAACTTGGCTCTGGTTTATATTCATATCTCTTAAGCAACTAGCACAGTGCATTGTATATAATCTCTACTCGGAATAAAGAAAGCCAAGCATAGTGGCTCATGCCTGTAACCTTGACTACTCAGGAAACTGAGGCAGGAAGACCTCTTGAGCCCAGGAATTCGAAGCTGCAGTGAACTATGATTGTGTCATTGTACTCCAGCCTGGGAACAGAGAGATACCCAGTTCCTCCTCACCCCCAAAAATCCTCAAATTATTTGAAAATACCCAGGAGAAAACTAAAATAATGCCCACAAGAAGAATGGAAATGGTTACAAAGGAGAGAAAGAAGTTGACAAATGGAATACATGAGAGTTGTCTGAACTGGCTCTAAATAATTCTCCCATCAACACAAAAGCTTGAGCAAAGCCATCCCAATTTCAAACAATGTCTTCCCACCTACAGATGTCAGATTATCACAGCTGACACTTGGCACAAGAGGAACAGCACTCATCCCAAGGCAAAAGTTTTAAACCAAGATCAGCAAACTATGCCCTGCAGGCAGTATCTGGCCTAGCACCAGTTTTTGTTTAGTCTGTGAGTTTAAAATATTTTTATACTTTTAGATGGCTGAAAAAAAATTAATAATAATACTTGTGATGTGAAAACTCTAAGAAACTCAAATTGCAGTGTCCATAAATATTTATAGAAACATGGAAATCTTTACCAAAAACGCAAATCAACTGCATGGAAAAGTAAAACTCTAGGTAGAAAACTCTGGGTAGAAGCCTCAAATGGCACCTTAGAGGCAGGTCCTAGAATTGTTTTCATTAAAATAACAATATCAAAATCATTTCAAACATAGTACAAAACAACTATTTTGTCAACATCTTTCATGTAACTAATTGTCATATTTGTTTGTTAGGAAGCAGAATAAGAAGCCAGTGGCCTGGAATCCTTTTCTAAGGGGAACAGAAAGGACTGCTGTCATTGCATATTATGTATTTTTTCCCAGTATTTATTATCTCTACATGGGACCAACATCCTTAGCATCTTGAAAAGATGAATGATTTTAAATCTGTAAAAGGCTTCACGATCAGTGAATGAAAGTGGCTTTACAAATACAGCATCCTCTGAGTCGTAAAAAGAAGTCGGGAAGCATTTGTCCCTGTGCAAAGGTGACCTATAAACCACGAAGCAGGAGACACCTGGTCGATGGGGCTCAAAGCGCAGCTTCCGACCATTAAACATTCTTAGACATTAATCTGGAATATTGGCATAGCAAACATTTTCAAAAAGATTATGCACACATTCCTTAGGATCAAAGGTGAGTTAAGGGAAGGTATAGTCAGAAGCATAAAGCAACAACAAACTCATGAAGGGCCAACTAATCTTAAACCAGCGGTAGTGCCACATCCATCAGCATAGCTGTCAATATAGTGAATTGGGGACTTGATTTTGCTTTAGAAACAGCTCTGGCAGCTAACTGCCCAGGCTCCAGGAGCCAAAATGGTAATCCAAATTAGGACATAGTAGCAGCAAAAAAGAGGAGAGAGAAGGCCAATTCTACCTATATTTTTCCATAAAGAGATCTCTAAATATTTGTACAACAAAGAGTTCTAAATTGGGATGGCAGCCTGGACCCACACTGAATGCTCCCTTCTGATACCACATTAAAATTACAGGAGAAATTACATGTAAGACATAAACCCGTAAGAACTGGGAAAACAGGGGAAGAGATATCAGCCATGAAACTTTTTGTGGTAGTAAACAGATGGATTAACAGCAATTTATTTAGCAGCAATGAAACAAGAGACCCCAAGCCAACAGTATGCAATGCTGAGAAAGAGTCCAAAACACCACAGAAGACACAAATGGTTTAGGACTCGGAGTACCAGTCACCCATGGAACTGAGAGAAAGGATGGTTCTGTTGGAAATAACACGGCTAAAATAAAGACGATTGTATGAAAGCTCTTTGAGATGCAATTAGATGTCTGGTCTCAGCTGCTGAGACCACCTCTGTAGAAATGAGGGTGGGAGGTCTGGAGGTTTATTCTCTGGAGATCATTAAACAGGAGCTCTCTGGACTAAGGGATGCCAAGAATGGTTATGGACCCCAAACGGGAAGATTAAGTGATCATATGCACTCTGAGAACCCACTCTTTCCCCCACAGGGCTCCCAGAACACCTGAAGCTCTCCAAATGAGAAATTGGAAGTTCCTTCTTTGGGGAAGCTAATCAGCCCAAGAGGACAAATTTAAAGATAACAGACATTGGAGTTCCCTACATGGTTCACCCAGACCACTCAGTAATGAATTTCAACAAGCCCAGTTCATGCACTCAGAACTTCCAAACCACTTAACCATAAATAGACAATCAAAGATTACAAGACAGCTGAAAAACTCTCTAACACAGAAGATACGACTCAGATGAAAAAAAAAGTAGAAAATGGTAACTTGCAAGAAAAAGACTAAGCAATAAGAAGAAAAGTAAAAAACAAGCATGTTCCTATTATTAATCATCAGGGAGAACAGAAACTGCATCTGCAGACAGGAACAGCTAGAATAAAAAGAAAATTCAGAGAACAAAAAAAGGTTTTAAAAACTAAAAACAACAAAAAT
Source organism: Homo sapiens (assembly GCF_000001405.40). Classification (NCBI taxonomy): domain Eukaryota; kingdom Metazoa; phylum Chordata; class Mammalia; order Primates; family Hominidae; genus Homo; species Homo sapiens. The sequence goes on along the minus strand of NC_000014.9, from coordinate 33,153,037 downwards.
GAGAGAAAACCAGTCTAAGAGAGTAAAAATCTGAGGCAATCTCCTGGACAGCCAAGCGAAATATATTGAGAAAATATTTTTTGAAAATCATCAAAAAATTCCAATATCGAAACCAGAGCACCAAAATGGGGACACACAACAGGAAAAAAGGCAACAAAGTTACTTAACATTTTCCAGAACTGAAGGATACATTTCCAGATTAAAAGAGACCACCAAGAACCCAACACATTGAATGAAAGTAAATTCACACCACATTACATGCATCAGTGGGATATTTCAGAACACCCAGGAAGAAGCTTACATGTAAACAATCATCAGAATGTCACAATCTCTCTCAACAACAAAGCCAGATGCTATATGAAAATGGAAAAACGGCCTCAAATTCCGAGGTAAAATTATTTCCTCCCTAGAATTCCATATAAAAACATCAATCACTTAAGGATGTAATAGAGACATTTTTAGAAATTAAATCCCCTCCAAATCTACTTTTCATATACCCTTTCCCAGCAAACTACCAGAGAATGTGCGCTGTCAAAGTGAGGGAAGAAAAAAAGAAATGGGAACCACATGGGACAATATGGACACCATATCTGAGTCATCCTACAGAGGCCAGCTAAGTGTAATGAATGTCATTAGAACATCACTCTTGCTGGTGAGACACACAGCAATGACGGTTCCTGATAGAAACAGGAGAAGAAAGAGAAAAGGGAGGAAGAGGAGAAGTAATGATGCTCCCAACACCAATGGCTCTGATGAAGCTTTGTATCTATTGAAATCAACACCTTGGAAAAGCCTTCCAAGTCCTTATAGACTCGAGTTGCCCAACCTTGGTACTACTGACATTTGGGGCCAGGTAATTTTTGTTGCAGGGGCTTTCCTGCGCACTGTAGGATGTTTAGCAGCATCTCTGGCCTCTACCCACTAGATACAAGGAGAAGACCCCATATACACACTTTTGACAACCACAAATGTCTCCAGATATTGACAAATGTCCTCAGGAGGGGCAAAATCACTCCTGGTTGAGAATCAGAACTATAGAGTGAAGGAGAAAAAATAAAAATCTTCCTAGTGAAAGATGTATACGTAATATATCTATCCAATACACACCACACATGCTTGTATACGCTCAGTCTCTGGAAGGGTACCAAAGGAGTACTAGTAGCAGCTGCCTCTCTTAGAGAGAAAGAGACTAACTTTATTCTTCACTTATTTTTAAATATTTTTATTATATAGTCTCTTTCCAGAACAATGTATAAAATTAAATAATCTTACATTTCAAAGGAACATATCCTCTCACCTACACTTGTAGGAATGTGATCTACTAAATATGCTCCCATGCATATAAAATTATGTATTCAGTTATTATTTGTGACATTGTTTGTAATAGCAAAAAGAATAAATAACTGGATTCAATGATAAAATGCTGTGAAATATGTAATCCCATAAATATAACATAAATTCATCACATGATACAATTTTCAAAATAAATCATGAGGTTAAAAAGGCAAGGTAAAAAACAGTGTGCATATTTTAGGCATACACAAGAAAATGCACATTCTCATCACCCTCTTTTATACAAACTGACGGAAGTCGTTGATTCCAAAACAGGGAACCAAGTGGTAGGAGGCCAAGGCAGAAGAGAGGCTACATGTTCTTTTGTGCGTTGACATTTAACCACATGAAGATCTTACTTATTTACGTTAAAATAACACATGCACCCTGTGAATGTTTGTCCTCCAGTAGTTCTCCTGGGTTACTTTCTCAACTAGCAACCGAGGCCTCAGAAGGCCTCCTTGTGGGAGCAGTCACAGCCCCATGCCTATCATGTAGAAACTGTTGTTTCTGCAAGGATATGCTCCAAGGAAACTTGACAAAGAGGCCGGTTATGCCTCTGAATGGCATTTTGCATTGACTGCAAAGAAATAGTTATCTTTCTTCTTTCTTCTCCCAGAGAGATTCACGGTGTTAAGTATAATGGTTGAAAACAAATAAAGAACATAATTAATTCCAAAAAATCTTCTGTTCCTATCAAGGAATATCGTATTAGATCCAGCTTTTTAAAAACAAATCAAGAAGTGGTACCGCAATCAATAGGATATAGAGGCTATGTTTAACAGTGAAATCCTATCTGGTTGTGAGTGGAAGCCCAGCAATGAAATTGGCTCAGGGAAGAAACAGCTGTCAGGAAGATGTGGCAAAATGACTTCATAATCTGACTTCTCACTTAGACTGCTCTTAGGTTAAATTGGAGAAAAACTCATGAGATCAGAGACAGAGTAGTAAGTTCTGGCTTAGCTGTACTCACAGCATGATTACGGAGAAATCATTTCACCTATTGCTAAGTGGGGATAATTTCTGAATACAGAAGAAATATGGGGAGGATTAAAGAACAAGAGAACAACCACTAAGAGCACCTGAGAATTAAAGCAAACAAAATTTTATAACTTTACGTATTGAATTTATTTATTCAAAGGCAATACCAGAACACTGAAATGCAAAGGAAACTATTTGGAGCAGTAGAATTATCAAAATATTTCCCAGATGATCAATATTTGGTGAGTTTATTTCATAATAAAAACAATTTTTAAAATTTGAAAACAAAAAGAAATGCAGCGCAACCTACCAATTTATTGCTGATGCACGTTTCAACAATGGTTTGCTTGAGTCTTTAGGTTCATTCTGACATGTGACATCACAGAGCCAAAATAACTTTGATGAAGGATGAGTGCTGAAAGACAGTTAATCTCTTAAACCTCAGCAGGTGCTCACTTAATTCAGTAATTCTTTTTTAGAGAAAATTCTGCCTGAGGGGTAAGTTACATTTTAAAAATAAATAACATGAATAGCTATAATGATAGACTGGGTAAAGAAGATGTGGCACATGTACACCATGGAATACTATGCAGCCATAAAAAAGGATGAGTTCATGTCCTTTGCAGGGACATGGATGAAGCTGGAAACCATCATTCTCAGCAAACTAACACAGGAACAGAAAACCAAACACTGCATGTTCTCACTCATAAATGGGAGTTGAACAATGAAAACACACATGGACACAGGGAGGGGAACACCACACACTGGGGCCTGTCAGGGGGTGAGGGGCTAGGAGAGGGATAGCATTAGGGAAATACCTAATGTAGATGACAGGTTAATGGGTGCAGCACACCACCATGGCATGTGTATACCTATGTAACAAACCTGCACATTCTGCCCATGTATCCTAAAACTTAAAGTATAATAATAAAAAAATGCTGATTCCTCTATCTAGTTCAGGCAAAGAGGTGAAGTAAGAATTTTCTAGGTATATTTGCAGTCCTGAAGTTCAAGAACCAAATATCTAAAGGCTTTCTACATTACTGTTTTAATTCAATAAATATTTTTCAAGGTACCCACTATATGTTAGGACACTACTAAAGGAAGCACTTATATACATAAGTAAGTAAGCCAATTTGCAAGCTGGATACACAATTTTAAAGGAAAGTTAGACCAAAGGAAAAATACCACCACCACAAAGCAAATTGTGATATCAACTGCAGAGCAAAACAAGTCATGTACCATCAAAAGTACTGATGAAGTACACTTTATTTATGGCTGTAGGCATTTAAGAAGATAGTCATGAGAAGGTGTGATTAAGCACAACCTTGACTGATACAGAAGTTTTTAAATATTATTGAAGAAAAACTTATTTGAACAAGAAATTTTAAAAGCATTTATAAATCTTGGTCCAAATCAGTCACAGGAATGATGAACACTTCGGAATAACAAGAGGAGGCACAAAGCGTATCAAGTTTTCTCAAATCATTTGGAGTATAGCCCTTTCCTTTACATACCTTATGGATTATTCCTATATTGATGGATAAAAAGTAAAGTAATAAAAGTCTGTTATTCATGTCACAAATGTCTCAGATAAGAGCTATCAATGAACCATCAATCATTGGTATATTTATATACTGTGTCAGAACTAACACATCAGTACTCACAAAGTGACTTGCTTCTTTAACTCTAAGGCAGTGCTGTCCAGTAGAAATACGATGCAAGGCCAGGCCAGGCCCGGTGGCTCGCGGGGTATCCTAGCTGTATCTTAGCACTTGGGGAGGCCAAGGTGAGAGGATCCCTTGAGCCCAGGAGTTTGAGACCAGCCTGGACAACATGGCAAGACCCCATCTCAACCAAAAAATTAAAATTAGCAGGGTGTGGTGGCATGCATCAGTGGTCCTAGCTACTTGGGACGCTGAGGTGGGAATATTGCCCGAGTCTTGGAATTGGAGGCTTACAGGGAGCTTTGATCACGCCACTATAACCTAGCCTCAGTGACACAGTGAGACCTCGTCTCCAAAAAAATTTTTTTTAAAAAAGAAAAGAAATATAATGCAAATCACATAAATGATTTTTAACTTTCTGGCAGCCACATTTAAAATTTTTTCAGTTGAGCTTAATTTTAAAAACATATTTTACTTAGCACAATCTGTCCAAAATATTGTCATCACAATTAAGAATGCAAAACTTTTCAGGAGACATTTTACATTCTTTTTAAAAACTCTTTGAAATCCAGTGTGTATCTCTATACAGCACATCCCAACTCTGACTAGCTACGTATTAAGCAGTCAATAAGCCCTACCATAATGGACAGGGCATCTCTAAGGTATTACTGATACAACAAAACAGTTTGTAATGTTGGCTTATAATAAATATATAATATGAATGACTATGTGATGTAATATTTTTATATACTCATTGTTCCTTGGGTTAATTTAGTACATTTCTAAGCAACAGAAATGAGATAATAGATGAATCTCCCAAAATCAGTATGTAAAATTAAAATTTTGCCTAAAATAAAGCCTCATTTTTGCTAAAAGCAATTAATATTGGAACAAAATTTAACCACACACTCAGGATTAATTGCCCCCTATGGTTACTTATATTACTATAAATATCCTTCAGAGAAGAAAGGTAGCAAGGGCACGAAATTAATAAAAGGTGAACTTTCCCTCATTTGTTTCACATTCTATTGGTTTCTTGAAGACTCTGCTTCTTGCTATTTGGTGTAACTGAATATGTTCTTATACCATGGCCCAAGTTTGAATTGGAATTTATTTAATGTGTGTATGTACAAAAGCTTTCTTTCAATATGAAAATACTGAAGTGAAAATTTTCTTACTGTATTTATAATGAGTTTTTATTGGCTATAAAATTTTCATCTTCTAATAATTGCCTGGCATCTTCTAAAAGTCTAAATTATACATGACTGTGCATACTTTTTTTAATCCAAACTTTTTTGTGTGTATATATATATATATATATATATATTTTTTATTCTACTTTAAGTTCTAGGGTACATGTGCACAATGTGCAGGTTTGTTACATATGTATACATGTGCCATGTTGGTGTGCTGCACCCATTAACTCGTCATTTACATAAGGTCTATCTCCTAATGCTATCCCTCCCCCGACCCCACAACAGGCCCCGGTGTGTGATGTTCCCCTTCCTGTGTCCAAGTGCGGCACTAATCCAAACTTCTTGATCTTAACTAAACATAAGAGTCATTTTTATTTCTATCACCTAGCATATTGGCTATTTGTGGTTTACTATTATAGTTATAAAGCAAGTTTGTCATTAATCATTTTATTTTCCTTTCAGAGAATTTTAGAGCAGCAACAGAACTAAGAAATACTTTTCAAATCCCACATTTTGCATATGGGGAAATGGAGTCTTAAAGAAGTGACCTGTAAAGAACAGTTGATTATCTAATGAGAAAGAAAAGCCTTAACTTCCAATCAGAACTACACAAACATGTCTTCTTTATTCACTTCAGCAAGGGCATTTTTACATTTAAAACAGCTTCTTTATTCTTTATAGGATGTGGAAGAAAAAAATGCAGATTAAATTCAATCAATAATTTCTCATTCAATTATTGTAAGGTTGTGTTTACTTATTGCAAAGATAGACCATTGTGCCCATCTTTAAAAATGAAAAGAAAAAAAAAACCTGACATACAAAAATCTTAACTTGCTCCACATATAAATTAGGAAGTGATTATTTGCATTACAAAAGATTTCACTTTACAAAAAAGATATGTAGCAAGGTTCCTTGAAATATCAAGTCCCTTGGTACAGCAAAAATTTAATCCAATTTACAAAGGAAACAGGGAAGGAAACAACTTCAGCTGAAGTGTAACTTCTACTTAAAAATCTTCCCTGATCGAGTCATGGCCCTCTTCTCTACTCCTCCTGCCCTTCGGTAAACCTCTATCTTAGACATTATCCATTTATGCATCCCAACATTCAGAGAGTAAATCATTAATTTGACCACAGCTAAGGCATGTTTAGGTGTCTGAAACTGTGCTAGGCACTGTACTGCAAAGGTGAATAAGATAAACCACTTCAGCCTCTCCAGAACAGTCTTTTATTGTAGAATATTACTGTTGTTGTTTTCCTCTTCTGCATGTCCTCCTAAATTCTGAGTTCCTTGAGAGCAGGGATTGTGTCTTATTCATAACTGAGCCTCCAGCGCCTAGCATGATGCCTGATTCACAGGACTCAATAAATGAATACTGAGTAAGAAATATAATTGTTGAGTGCTATCACGTGCCAAGTGCCATCCTAGGCCTAAGGGATTGTCATCTCATTTAACCCTCAAGAGTTTCCTCAAGATGGGGATTTGTACAGAGTATGACACTCAGGCTCAGAGCTTAGGGAAGGGGGTCGAGCTTACACAAGTGGAAAGTGGTAGAACAGTTACGCAAACCCTTGTCTGGATAACACTCTGAAGCTCATGCTTCCCCCACTTTACTTACAAACTACCAAATTGTGGTATCTGTGCAATGTTTTGGGATGCTCATACACATCATATGTAAGCAAAGAAATTAGTCACAAATATAGAAAAAACAGGTAAAAAGTGAAATTTCCCATCTTCCCTTATTATTTCATCTTATTTTTTGAGAGGCATAATCTATATTTATATATTAGGCAATGCTCTAACAAGGACATAGCAGCTTCTACATGAAATTGTAAACCATCTGCGACTCTTTACTTGTGATACATTCATAGTAAAGCCCTCGGTAGCCAAGTATAGATTTTCACAGGCACACTCTTTCATTCTTCTTTAAGTTATTTTTCATATATTTAGTATATATTTTCTTTGAAAATAATTAAAAAACAACAAGAGGTCACATTTCCAGTTCCATGGAAACCCTTGGGTTATACCCTGGCCCTGACATTTCTTGGTCCGATAGTCTGTGAAATCACATTAGGAGAGTTGCAAAGACAAAGAACTGAGTGAATGAAAAGAGCCAGGCATGGTAAGGAAAGAAACGAATAGGCAATAGGAAAAACAAAAAGGACACAGTACATAGCAAAACTTATCATGGGCAGTGCAGAAAATTAAACCACTAATGTGGGGAACAACACTGTGCTGTTCTTCTAGACCTCAGAAGGACAAGACAAGGTACTGAAAATGATGAGAGGATTATTAGGAAGAATAGAAAGTAGATCTATCATTTGAGTGACACCTATCACGACGGGAGGGAAAAAAATAAAAAGTGAAATAAAAGCAAAAGTCAAGGCCAAAACTGAAGAAGCACTATAGAAATTTAAAAACAAAACCTTAATTTGCAAAGGAGAAAAAAGGTTTCAAATCAAAGGAGCATATCATGATCCATACAAAGACAGATTTTGTAACTTTCTAACTTTCCTTTGAAATTCCGGCCTATCACTTCTTCCAGGTAATCTCTTGTCAACTTAACAAATATCCTGTTGGACTTTTATTAGGGATTGGAAAAGAAAGACATTCCTAAATGCCAAAAGAAAAATTTTCATACATATACACGTTCATATATACATACTCTGGGTAAAGGTTTTCAATACAAGGCCCAAGGGGTAGTGGGTGAACTGCAAACCTCTCTGTAGAATAAACCAGCTTATCTTAAACAAAATTCTGGTTGGCATCAAATATCTCCCCTGTAACTTAAATATCATGAGAGAGAAAGAGGAACAAAATTTTCAATGATTTAACTAAGAGGAAAATGTTCATAAGCCGAAAATTTTGTAACAAACCAAGTTGTAATTCAAGTATGATAACAATAATAGATAAAATATTCGAGGACTCAGAAAATCTAACACATAAATCCTTTTTAAAATCACATGAAGGCTAGGTGTGGTGGCTCACACCTATAATCCTAGCACTTTGGGAGGCCAAGATAGGAGGATCATTTGAGGCCAGGAGTTCAAGACCAGCCTGGGCAATGCAGCAAGACTCCCCATCTCTACAAAAAATGAAAATTAAAAAATGAATTTTTAAAATTCATTTAATTAAATGAATTAAATGGGTAAATTAGCTGGGTGTTTTGGTGCACATTTGTAGTCCTAACTACTCAGGAAGCTGAAGCAGGAGGATCGCTTGATCCCAGGAGTTCAAGGCTCTAGTGAGCCATGAGCATGCCACTGCACTCCTGCCCGGATGATAGAGGGAGACTCTGTCTCAAAAAAATAATAATCATCACATGAATATGTACTTCAGGTAACTGGGAAATACATCAGAATTATAAAGATGCTGCAGTATGCAAGGACTGAAAGATTGAAATGTTGACATAAGTGTCTCAGCAACTGATGAAAACGTTACAAAAGTATATCAAAATTTAAAAATTGTAAAAATAATTTAGTAGCAATAACTGATTTCAAAACAATAGGTTTTGTCCAACAAGCACATCTTAAAAGATGCTCAACGTCCTTCTTCACTACGGAAGCACAAATCAAAACCACAATGAGGTCCCACTTCACATCCATTAGGATAGCTATAAGTTTTTTTATTTGTTAAAAACATGAAAAATAAGTATTGGCAAGCACATTAGAAAATTCTGAATTTCCAGTGTGAATGTAAGATGATTAAATCACTGTGGAAAATAGTTTGGCTGTTCCTCAAAAACTTAAATGTGGAATGACCACATGACCCGGCAATTCCAGTCTCAGGTATATACCTAGAAGAACTGAGAACAGATACTCAAACAAATACATGTGCCCAAATGTTTACTGCAGCTCCATTCACAATAGTCAAAAGAGGAAAACAACTCAAATATCCAGCAACAGATAATAAAGTTATATTATATCCACACAATGGAATACTATTCAACCATAAAAAGGAATGAGGTACTGATTCATGCTACAATATGGATGAACCTCAAAAACATTAGGCTCAGTGAAAGAAACCAGACACAAAAGGCCACATATTATATGATTCCATTTACAGGAAACATCCAGAATAGGTAAATCCACAGAGACAGAGCACAGACTTGTGGCTGCCAGTGGGTGGGGCAGGGGAAATAGGAAGTAAATACTTAATGGGTATGAGGTTTCATTTTTGGGGTGATAAACATGTTTTAGAACTAGATAGAGGTGCTATTTGTACAACATTGTGAGTATACTAATGCCACTAAATTGTTCACTGTAAAATGGTTAATTTTACGTTTTATACAGTTCACTTCAATTGCAAACAATAATAGGTTTTATGAAAAGGATTGAAAAGCTAAGAGAACAGGATACTTTTTTTTTTTTGAGACAGAGTTTCGTTCTTGTTGCCCAGACTGGAGTGCAGTGGCGCAATCTCGGCTCACCTCAACCTCTGCCTCCCGGGACCAAGCGATTCTCCTGCCTCAGCCTCCCAAGTAGCTGGGATTACAGGCATGCGCTGCCATGCCTGGCTAATTTTGTATTTTTAGTAGAAACGGGGTTTCACCACATTGGTCGGGCTGGTCTCGAACGCCTGACCTCAGGTGATCCACCCGCCTTGGCCTCCCAAAGTGCTGTGATTACAGGCGTGAGCCACCGCAGCCGGCCAGGATAACTTTTTTTAACCTTATAAACTGTAAGTGGCAAAAAGCATAATTATCTTATAATCTTAAAGGAGACAAGATTTAAGAGGTATTTCTTTCTTCTTCTTTTAGATGGAGTTTCGCTCTTGTTGCCCAGGCTGGAGTGCAATGGCATGACCTCAGCTCATTGCAACCTCCTCCTCCCGGGTTCAAGTCATTCTCCTGCCTGAGCCTCTGGAGTAGCTGGGATTACAGGTGCCTGTCACCATGCCCACCTAATTTTTTGTATTTTTTTAGTAGAGATAGGGTTTCACCGTGTTGGCCAGGCTGGTCTTGAACTCCTGACCTCAGGTGATCCACCTGCCTGGGCCTTCCCAAGTGTTGGGATTACAGGCGTGAGCCACCGCTAAGTGGTATTTCTATTGAAATCAAGAGAACTGCCAAATTTTTCTCCAGGACAAAAAGGAATGCATGAACAAATATAGATATGTGTCATATTCCTCAATGGAAAGATAGAATACTTCAGAAATAATAATCCTTTCTATTCCCCAATAAAAAGATCAAATAGATATTCCTTAAGTTAACAAAAGATGTAAAAGCTTACTTGGAGAAACCAATATGTCAAGATTTCAAGGAAAATTTAGAAAAGAGAAGTAGGACAAAGTTTTTTTTCCCTTACCAGATACTAACATATTATAAAAATATGGCAATTAAAGCAGTATGATTTGAATACAAACACTGACATATGGCACAGAAAAAAATGGCCTGGATCCTAGTATAGGGCATGAAATCATTCAGTATGTTCAGTTATCCTTTTAGAACCCACTATATGCCACATACTGTACTAAGAGCTAGCATCAGAACCACATTTATTAGATGTCAACATAACTTCAGCACTATAGCAGTTAAGGCTAAAAAATGTTAGTGTATGTCTTGTGTTGTTTGGATAGGGAAGTATTCCTTTTTAAGTGTAAAAGTACTGAAAAAAAATCCCAGAAGGAAGAGGTGACAGATTTTAGTAAAAAAAAAAAAAAAAAAAAAAAGCTTATACAAATTAAAATAAAATAAAAATTAGGAGCAGAAGTAAAATTGTACAAAGTACTAAGGCTAAAAATGTTACAGCCTTAATAACCAGTTCACAGCAATTAATTAAAATCACTAAAGTTCTAACAGAAAAATAGGTAGAGCCCATTGAATGGCAAAAGAAATAAGTGATAAAAATAAATAAATTGTTTAATATTAAGTGATTTTCAATGGAATACTAATTTTTACTATCAAATTAAGAAATGTCCTAAAAATTCCACTGGTGTTGACAAAGGTGTGGCGAAATGATGTCATCCTCACACACTGCTGGAAATGCGATGGCATACTTGCTGGAAAGCTATCTATCGATACGTATCAGATCGTATACAGCCTTCAGCTGTACATCCTTCATCCCAATTCTATTCTCATATCACAATCTCAAGGAATGTAAACATTCATACAAAATGTACGCAAAGATGTGCATCACGAGTATATTTATAATATCAAACACATAAGAAACCATCTAAATATCTAATCATAGAGGATTATAGTATATCCATATATGTATTGTATACTCTTAAAATGTTTTAAAATATTTAATGATATGAGACACGCTAGCAAAGTAATTTTTAAAAATCAGTTTACCAAAGCATACTTAATTTTGAAAAACTGTATAGAAATAGCTCCAAATTCTAAACAGTAGCTACTGTGATTCATAGAATTATCTATTTTCATCTTTATATTTGTCTGTACTTTTAAAATTCTCCATAGTAGGCTCATTTTATTTTGATAATCATGGAGGAAGTCATTAAATAAATGGAGGCCAGCGTGCCAATTCACTTTGGAGTCCATTCTAAAAAGTAGTAGTCTGCTGTGAAATGTTTTCAATAGCTCACACCCATCATCATTTCCCCCTTAGTAACAAAACTGAAGCAGGAGTGAAAGCTATAAAGCCCAGCAATGACCTACATTAGCCGAAAACATCAAGATGCTTAACATGAGGTGCTTCATGATCAATTTCAAGCAAGCATACATTGCTCTCGCAATTCATTGGCATGTCAAATTCTTGACAAAATACTAAGTGACTGCAGGTGCCAATCACTGTCTCACAATGCATTCCATTGTACAGTTTTGGTATCAATATGATTAAACTATGATGGCATCCCACATACAACAAACTGTTGAGAAATTACTTCTCCTGGGAGGCTGCCCTGATGCTCCGCCATTGTTTGTCCAAAAGCAAAGAAGAGGCAAACATACAGATTGCTTTTTGAATTGATGGACTGATACCAAGCAGCTTTAGGATTTCCCCATTATGTTTGGCCATAGTCAATAGGCTTTCTTAATTCCATCATTCACTTCCAAATGCAGCCAGTCCTGATAGCTTTCTTGACCTTTCTTCTCCCTCCCATAACACTTCTCATCTTTTGCTATACCTTTTGCTATTTTCTCTGCTGTTCTACAGCAAGAAAAGGAGGAATTTCTGATACTTTTTTTAAAGACCATTTTTTAGTGATTCTTCTCTATTGAATATTGAATGCACTTGAGAGCTAAGAATTATAATCCTGCATCGATGGGAAAAGCAAAACAAAACTGAAGTATGAAAGGGAAATGACACGGTGAAGCATGCATGATTTAATAAATACATTCAATGCAAATGAGAGAATTCACAGAAGAACAGAGATAAATACTGCCAACACCAACACTTCTAGAAAGAAATAAGACACACTGGCCAGTGAGTAACGGGAAAGGATAACCCACTTACACAATGGTCACCTGCTGATGTTCTACATTTTCACCCCTAAAAACAGCAAAATGAGCTCAAAATAGTGACTGTTTTTTTCTGTGTTCTTTTCCCTACTTACATATTACTGAAATCATCTTCTATCCCCTTACTTTCTGTCAACAAGAGTGCAATCCATTTCCTAATATCTGAGTGATGTATTAGCCACCTGAGTGTCAAACTTGTTTTTCCTCATTTTCGTGGGATATTTATGTCAAGATATGCCACACTTATTTCAATGTAATTTACTGTGCAGCAGTGGTGTTTCTATGAATTAAAACCAAGGTACTGAACCACACCACCAAAGAGGAGTGGTGAAAGTACACTTCATCATAGGCCTACCGAAAAATGTTTTAATATATATTCAGAATAAGGGAGTACTACTATAATTATTAAGAAGGAGCACTGACAGCAAACAACATGCAAAGTAGCGTAAAAAATGAAAATCCCTTAAATTCAGCAACTCTTTCTCTTGAAAAAAAAAATCATGCAGGCAGAATATTATAGGACTGGAAGGCCAAGAAGTGGAAGTAGACAGGGAAAGCACGTGGAAATCTGAGACTACATTCAATCAGTTCTGTCCAGTAGAACTTTCTGTGATAATGGAAGTGTTCTACGATCTGCACTGTTTATTACAGTAGCCACTAGCCCCATGTGGCCAATAAGCACTTGAAATGAGGCTAGTGCAACTGAGGAAACATATTTTTATTTCATGTTACTAATTAAAATTTAAAGAGCCACATAGGGCTAATGGCTACCATTCTGGACTGTGCAGTATTGTATGGAGCTTGTATTCAGAACAGAAGCACAATATGAAACAAATTGTCAGGAGGAGAAAGTCTGAGGAATACAATTCTTTAATATGCCAACATACTCAGGGCTTAAAAATAATTTAAGAAACCACATCCTCCACCCCGTCCACATCTTCTCAATTCACCCAACCACCAATACACTCCAATGATATAAGATTCCCACCTCTCCTGTTGGCAAGTTAAAATTAATAATGTGAAGAAAACCATTTAATTCTTATACCACTATTTGTAATTTTGGAAGTAACAATGTAGTGAATAAAAAGCCCAATCCAGGAAAAACTGATTGAATGGTATGGGTTTTGGTGCAATGGGAGGAAGCCAATGTGCACATAGATGCTAGCTGGGCGGCAGAAAGGGCAACTGATGGTAACATGTGAACAGTCTCAAAATCCTATAGTTGGATGCTCAGTTTTATCTGATTTTATATGCTTGACAAGCCATTTGTGATCCTCACTGGAGGTAATTAAAAGACTGTTCTGATGTACTAAACAGAATATTACTCATCTAGACAGACACCCAATTTTAAGTTCCCAACCACTGGGAGTAAGTCATAATAATCCCATAGGAAGTCAAGAGAAGAGAAAATCTCTATCATGAAGAAACTTTTGCCAGCTATAGCTTTACTGAATATATTCCACTTACCAAATGGAGTATATCCTCCAGAACTAACTTTTAATGATAAAGCAGTATTTAATCATGCATCCAGTTCTTCCTCTTTCTTTCCTTGTCACGACAGAATATATTCTAAGAAAATACTGTCCAAGTACCTTGAAGTCAGGTTCCATTGCATGTCAAGTATATAACCCTATCACTCAAAGAAGCCCCGTTGTTTTTATGTCTAACTGCAGAATTTCATATAAATTTTCACACATTCATTCCAGCATTTTATGTTTACAGCACACATGAGATCACTGGAACCCTGTCTCATTCCCTCTTCCTTAGACACCATTTTATTTCCTTAGATTTGGAATTGATGGAAAAAATTGTTGGAAGACTCTATTTATACATAAACACATAGATGTTTTGTATCTCTCTGGACCAGAGAGAAAGCACAATGGAATCACAGTTGACTGAGCATGATGCTGGGGCATGGATGTACTTTTTTTCCATCCTTAATTCATTGAACCAATGAATCTTTTCAAGTATGTTTTCTAACCTCAAAGAAGAATTAAACCAATCCTTTACAAGTTTTATGCTTAGCTTATAGCTTTATATGTATTCAAGTAATAATTACTGTATGACTACTATATTTAATGACCTGTGATAGGCACTTATAGTAAAAGATGATTTAAATGTGTCAGTCTTATTCACTGATTACCAAAACCCTGAAGATATTACAAACTCCCATCAAGAAAGTGATAGACTCAGGAAGGGGAACATCACACACCGGGGCCTGTTGTGAGGTGGGGGGAGGGGGGAGGGATAGCATTTGGAGATATACCTAATGTTAAATGACGAGTTACTGGGTTCAGCACACCAACATGGCAAATGTATACATATGTAACTAACCTGCACATTGTACACATGTATCCTAAAACTTAAAGTATAATTAAAAAAAAAAAAAAGTGATAGATTATGTCCAATTCTCCACAAGATGAGAAAGATGTTACACCATCCCTCATTTTTGGGAAAAGCAGGAGAGCTTGTATTTTAAAAACCCTCCACACCTACCAGATAATTCTGTTCAGAAAGTTGTACCTCCCTTTCTCCCCAAAAACTATTGAGAATCTCTAGTCTATTTCACAACAGAATTCCATATTTAAATCTAGATTAACAGATTTCCCAAACTTGGGATTCATATTATAAATGTTAGCCAAATAGCTCTAGAAACACATATATTTTCATGTTTCCAACTAACACGACAAAGATACTGGGCCATTCTTGAGATGTTAAATTTAAATTAACTCCAGAAATTACTGACAGTATTATAAATATTATAAATCCTGGCTTAATTCTTATGTAACGTATACTAGGCTTTGCTCATTGTTACAATTTCCACTAATCTTGATATTAGCTGAAGACACAAACAGCAAAAATCTGGTTGATGTGTATATGTACCCATTTGTACTCACACATATATTGACTTTGAAATTTGTACTTCAATTAAAATAGTACCAATTATAATGGCCTTTTAAAATCCAACAGATACATTACAATTCCTGGTGGATTGCTTGCTTCAAGAAAATAATAATAATCTTAGTTGATGGTGAATCAAACAATCTTATTTAGTAATAAGATGCCATGTAAATGATTCAGTTTTGTCTTGAAACTCCTCAGATGTTGCCAGAGGCTACATCAAAGTCACATTTAAGTCTTAAATATCTCAGATGCCTTGATGGAGATTTTCACTATAATAGTCCAACTACTCACCCTTAGTCACTAAAAACATTCATTTTATCACTTAATGTCCTCATGTTAATTCAATTATGTTTCTTATTTCAGTCACATTTTATACATAATGTGCTACTTTAGCATCTATACAGTTGAATTTTCTCTTGCATTCTTCTAGCAAATAATTCTTCATAATATTCAACAATTTATTCTTTTTTTGCATTGATTACACTGGGCTTCCATTACTTCTTAAATTTTTCAACAGAACAGAAAAAGCCAAGAAGTTTTGGCATATTCATTCATCTCAATTTTAATCAATGGCCACGAAGAAAAATAAAGTGAAATTTCTATAAATTTAAGCCTGGTCCTTCGGGAGCATATTACAACAAAGTTAAATCAATGAATTAAAACTGCCTTCTTCCATAGATCAGGAAAAAGCGGTATTGGTAAATTGCTCCCATCATCTTTGTAACAGATACACGAAGTATATAATCCCAGATGCAAAGGCCATTGCTGTTGTATTGCAAAGGCAATAGCTAAAAACTAAATCTTTCAAGTACCCACATCAAGAAGTGCCTGAGATGTAAGAGGTTGTGTGACAATTGGAGAAAGTAAGCTGCAAGGCACAGACTTTGAAATAAGGCTCACTGGTTCCAATCTCAGGTCTGCTGTTGACTAGCTATACAACTTGGGGTGAGTTTCACCACCCCAGGGTCTCAGTTTCTTCAGTTGTAAAATGGTGATCCTACCACTTATCTCATTAAAACTGAGTTACTGTCATTATTACTGCAGTCCTAAATTCCAGAAAACTATATAGAACTGCTCATAGCCTGCATTATCAATGTGTTAAAGGTTATCATGGACATGGTTGTCGTTTTGTGTTTTTTCAGAACCGAAGAACTTTTCATTTTAAAAAGGTATTTATTTGGCCAGGCGCAGTGGCTCACACCTGTAATCGCAGCACTTTGGGAGGCTAAGGTGGGCGGATCACGAGGTCAGGAGATTGAGACCAGCCTGGCCAACATGGTGAAACCCTGTCTCTACTAAAAATATAAAAATTAGCTGGGCGTGGTGGTGTGCGCCTGTAGTCCCAGGTTCTCAGGAGGCTGAGGCAGGAGAATTGCTTAAACCTGGGAGGCGGAGGTTGCAGTGAGCCAAGATCGCGCTACCACACTCCAGCCTGAGTAACAGAGCGAGACTCTGTCTCAAAAAAAAAAAAAAAAAAAAGAAAAAAGGTAGTTATTGCACATGAATGGCCACAGCTCAGAGCTTTTAGGTCCACTTACACCATGTCTACTTGTGCTGCTTTTATTACATAAGACAACCTATTGTGTCCAGTGGAAAACCATTTTGGATCCATTCCAATTACATGAGGTCTATTTCACTGTAAAAAGTGTCCTCCACTTCTGTTCAGAATCTAAGGAGATGGACTACCAATCATTTCTTTTCAACGGAGCATTGGCTGCTGGAACTGGCTGAGCTCATTCATTTTAAAATTATTTACCCCGACCCACTCCAATGCTAGTATTTTATTGTTTCTTTTGGTCTTTTCCTTCCCTTTTTTCTTCTTCAGAAATCCAAAAGAGTCAAGAGGGAAATTGTTTTTTTTAACCCCCACTGAAAAATTCAGACTGCTATATTTGTAATCAATGACCCAAATCCAAAATAATCACAATTGCTTTTCATAATCAGAATTGCAAAAAGCTGCTCAGCTTTTTTGACTTATTATAAAATGTTGGAATTCTCTTATGACAAAGAAATATGCAATTTTTGCACAGCAATGATTAATAAACTTAAACTATTTTATGGTAAAATGCATTGAATGTCTTATTTTTAATAAAAATTTCTTTCCCATTACTGAAAACATATAGTTCTCTAATTTAAACCTGTAGTGATGAGTTCCAAACAGTATAGTGGCCAAGAAGAAACACATTTCAACATTAAGTCAGGAAATCCACTCTGAATCCCTACCTTACCAGCTACCACAACCATCATCTCTTCATTTGCTGAAAGGTCAACATTGGTTTGTCCGAATTTACGAGTAAGTTCTCCTCACTTTTACTTGTCCCTATAACTTCAGGGATTGCTTAGAAAAGGGTTGCTGGCATACAGCCAACTGAGTAAAATAGCTGTGGAGTCCAGAAACCAAAAGTGAATTTCAGACTTTCACAATAGACAGGATTACATGAAGAGTAAGGATAGTTATATTTTTCAAGTGACATTTATAAGTCTTAATAATTGGCGAGACATAATATGCAATGAAAGCACAAAAGCTGGCACTAGCTTTATAACCAATAATCTTGGAGTAAGAGCTCTATTTGTGAAGTAACACTGAAACTAAAAGTTGGGGTGCCCTACAGCTGAAAGCCAGACTATACCTGTGAATGCCTCTCCTTTAACCAGCATATTATGAGAAAAAAAAAATCAGTCTTTAAGCACATTCACTAGGAGAAAGTTTCAAAATGTCATTATCCATATAAAGATCTAACAGGTAAATGCAGTAATAGGGTATTAGGTACAGAAATCACTAATTTCATACCAGCAATACACCACAGCTAAACAGTAACTTCTAATTCAAAACAAAGCTTCATGGGTCCATCTTGTTGCCCACTTCAGTAGGCAGAGGTGACTACTCTTACATGAAGCCACCTATGCTGATGGAAAACCAAACAGACCACAGGCAAAGCATCTTTAAAACAGCTCCTGGTGGCTGGATAAAATGGAAAATCTCTCCAAAGCTAAATTAAAATAATGAGACCTCTATATGCTGTTGTTTTAACTAAGTAGAATTTTCAGTATCCGTGAAAAAACCATTTAGATAAAGTATTTGCCTACAAAACTGTGCTTTTCAAGTGTTATTTTGATGTAAAATTGAGTGTTTAAGGATGAAAATTCCCTCAAGCACTCTGAAATGATAGCGCCGTTGACAGTGTCAAAAGCCATGCTGAGATCAAGGGAAATGCGAATGGAAGCAGTAGCAACTGCATTCATAAAGAGGTCATTTAAAACCTCTTTGCTATGATATAAACTAAAACATGACTAGAATCTCATCAAAGAAAAAGGAAAAAAAAAAAAGTTCAACTGTCCATCCTAAATTCCCAAGAAGAAAATCACCCAAAAATTCCTAAAAGATTTGATATGTAAGTGTAAATTCACTTGTCAGATTCCAAATAGCAGTCAATTTGCATTTTGTAGGTAGAAAAAGAAGTGTAGTTTATCAATGAATTTCCAAAAGAGAGGAATCCCCTCATTTTCTTATAGAAAGCGAACTTTACCATGTGCTAGCCCCTCAGTTGCAAATTCCTTTAATTTTTCTATTTGAAGTTATTGCTATATATTTCTGTAATGATCCCTAATGCCTTCACCTAATGTACAACTTGTTTTCTACAGCTTTTGGACCACAATCCAAGAAATTTTCTTTGATGGACTAGAATCATCTGGAATGCCCGTGGCTTCTCCCCTTCCTTGGACACTATATCATGTCACCAAGAAGCAGCTTTAAAGCTTGTAAACCTCTAGGAAAAAAGGCCACATAAGATAGAAACTACATTCTTACAAAAGCTTCCACTTTTCTATTATTTGCATAGTCTGATTAAATGCTCAGCCCTTGTCACCTTTTCTACAAACTACGGACAAGTTTACAATAGGTATAAATGCCCTTTCTTACTATTTACTATTGCAGTCATAATGTTATTTTACCAGTGACTGTTAATTATTTTATTATTAGTCATTGACTGGCACTTACACATTCATTAGATAGCAATTATTAGAGTTTAGTTGGGAAGTTACAGTAGTTGGCTTAACCAATGCCTTCTTACACACTTATGACTATGAACAGAATGCTGCCAAATTCTGACCGGTCCTAACGACTCAGTGATGTACATTTAAAAAGGGAAAAGCCTTGCTAATATCTTCTGAATAAAATATTTTATTTATCAAGTTTCATGTCTCATATAGTGCCTAAATCCCTTCATAACTGTCAGATGTGCCTTAAGATAAAGCCCCTCTTGTGTTTTTATGTAGTGTATGTGTGCATATCCTTGCCTTCATAAGAGATTCTGATTCTTGGTGCCTATAATACAATTTATTATATATTTGTTGGCTTACTGCTATGTTGCTACCAATTATATGATGATAACATGAGTAACACTGGAGTGGGAATTTTTGTGTTACTACTGGACAGAATACAGATAGAAGTCTTCTTTCATAAGTCATATGTACTTTATTAACAAATAATAATCCCACCTATCTAATCACAGTCATAGACCAATTAATTTAAGAGTAATAACTGGAAATTAAACTTTGGTACTATGATATTAGTTGTGCAGTTTGGACAAACACTTAAGACTCAATTTCTTATGTGCAAAATACCCACTTCACATGGTTCATATGAGAATTAAACAGGAAAACCAAGAAGTATCTAATAAAATGTATGCAGCATAACAGGTATCAGTAAATATTAGTTATTTCCCTGTCCCCAATTTGCTTCTAAAGTCACTACCATCTGGCTTTGAACACTGATGATTCAGTCAAATTGTCCTAATTAAGGTATCCAATCATCTTGTCAATTTTCCATTTCTGTGGCACAAGACATTTACTATCAACTGTACTTGCCTTCATGAACATGTTTCCTTGGTTTCTAAGGCTCTTTCCCCTCACACTTGAACTTCCCGTCTTCTCACCATCCCTCACTCCTGAGGGATCCATCTACGTGCTTATAGTCCCACAGCACTTGGTGCCTCTTGATGATTTCAGCCATCAATCTCAATTTCCATCTCTAACCTCTCTTCTGAGCTCAAGACCAAACTTGTAGTCTCATTATTTTCTCATTAAGTGAACAGGTATGTATGGTTTAAAATATAAGACTTCTAGTCTCTTCCTACAAGTACACAGACAACTCGAAAATCCAAAATCATCTGGATACTCATTCCCTTCGCTCTGCCTCACTACCCTTGCCTCCCTAAGTTTGTCTCTTCAGCACTCAGAAGCCCAAGCTAGAACAACCAGAGGCACTCAACTTTAGCCTCTTTTATTGCCCACATTAAACTAGTCACCAAGCATTTGGAGTCCACACACCTCCTTTCATCTCCACTTCCATTGCCTAATCCAAGGTCTTCATGCAAGTTACCTGGACCACCAAGGTAACCTCCATATCTGCTTCCCAGACTCCCTTTCCCACCAGCTTCCAATCCAATTGCTACATTGTTTACAGTTTAAATGAATACATGAACCACTTAAATAATGGCTCTTTCTTCTCTGTGGTTTCAGCTCCTAAGGACAGCCCTTCTCAATCACCTGTTCAGCCCCATCTCCAGACACAGTTGACATTTGCCACCAATTATAATTTTCCTAAAGAACCAGCTCTCCACATGACTTGTCCCACTTTCTCTATCAGATAAAGTATAATTGATCCTGCAAGCTTCGGCTCAAAGATTACGTTCCCAGTTTACTCCTCAGTGCATAACACAGTTTATTGTGGCCCTTTTTAACACCCCTTCCTTACCAACTAAGCCAGAGATTTTGTGTTAATCATGCCCATAATAGGCATTTATCAAATATTGGCAGACTAACTTACATTCCTCTGTGTGGGCATGCACACGCAAACATGCACACATACGAGCAGCAGGGCTAGGATGAGTTTGCCGTATTTTCTATAATTACTAGGATTATTAGATGACAAAAAAGGGACTATAAACTAATAGCTGTTTCTCTCTACAAATGTATCTGGAGAGAGGCAGATACACAAACCCCAACATTTATTACTTATATTAAATACTGTACATGTAAAATAAAGGATGTAACCTCAGCTGGGCGTTTTGTTAATCAGAATTTATAAAAATCTGCTTAACCACGTGGAAGTCAGATGAACACATGGCTGGGTGTAACTCAATTGGACTGAACTTGAGAGAGAGCTGGAGAACTTGGAGAATATCAAATGGGGTCATTTAAGCCAAATGTTTAAAGGATTATCAATAAATCTAGAATAAAGCTAATATTTAGATTATTTTGTCCAGAAGACAAAGTGGTCTAATTACAAGTAGATGACCTAATGACTGTTTCAGCATATAAAATTTTACTACACAAGAGAGACTAAAAACTAGTTTTTCCTTGAGGAAAAAAGTGTCTTTGTTACTTACTCTGTAAACTCCCACAGAACCTGGTATGTAGACTTGCTCCAAATGTGTACTGACAAGTAGAGGACAACAAGGGAACTCTCATAAGAGGTACTTGGGCCAGATAATAAAGCCCAGCTGAATGGTGAGCATGGATGGTTTGAAACTTCTCTGTATATCTTTAAGAGTAGAATAAATACCCATCTCTGAGGCTTCCGTTGTCCCTTCTGGAAGTGAAAGCCTGTCCTGGCTGAAAAATTGAAGGTTTCTTATAACACAAGCTTCAAATCATCATGCACACTTCTATAGGAATTTCAGGAAGAGAGAGATGCTGTGTCAAGAGTGGATGTGAAGAATGATGTTTATTAATACTGAGGTTCTATTTCTGCATTTAGCTTGTTACAAAATGAAGAACCTGAATAAAAATACAATATAAGCAAAATATGGCATCAACTCAGAAACTTTTTTCTAAATTGACTAGGAAGCCAGCTCCTCCTAAAAGCATAAGAAAATAATTGCATTTCCCCCATTCACTTGTTATAAAAGTTATTTTGCCCTTTTTGCACAAACAGCATAAAGATTCCAAAACATACAATGTGATTACAAAATTAGAATGGTGATATTTCCATAAAGTATCATTGATTTCAAAGGAATCTCAGATGTCATAGAAATAACAATGATTAATCATGCTTAATTTTACTTAATTTATGCAATCACATATTTATTTCACATTCAGGGAAAGGAAAAATAATCTTGCAATTCAAAGACTATTCCTCTTCACCTTCATTCGCTTTCTCAACATCTTCACTTGTGTTGGCAAATTCTGCCTGGCTCTAAGGATAGTTCCATTACTGCTGAGACAGTGGGTCTAAGTCTACAAATGAGACTAAATAAGGGGGGAGAGTAACTTATTTTTAAGGAGATTTAAGAGGACAGTCAACTGAAAAGGAAATTATTTCCATTAAACAGAAGTAAAACAAATCCTCCATTATGGTCTGCCGTACGCATAAAGAAGGAATTGGCCATTTAAGAAACTGCATTAAATGAATTATGGATACCTTATCAGTTATAATTGCTATACCAGAAAAAACGTTAACACATACAGACTGCTTAGCAAACAGTAGCACTTCTGTCATTTAGGGAAAAAATAACATCCTAAATTAAAAGTGACAAAACTACATGTTACACACTATTAGGGAGCCATGCTAAACACAGATGGTATGATCTGTTGCTTAATCATGAAACTGTGAGTAAAATATATTGATCTCAGTTCAAGGAGTTAAAAACACCCAGTCAAATCTTTAAAATATCTTTGAAAATTATCGCAAATTCTCTTTTTGCCAAGCTAGTCATTCATATATTATTATAGCAAACAAAGTAACTAATATCTTTACTTTTTAAAGATAAAATCTTCTACCTCTGAACATGGGATCCTTTATACATACTCACTTCTACATCTCCTATTATGAATGTGCTTGCTCTGCCCAAAATGTACTAGTTATTCACTACTGCCATAACTGTGTTGGATTCTAAAACTACTACAATTGGGAACAACCAAATAGACTAAAATGTGTGGAAGATACAAACTATCCTTGGCAACTGACACAGGAATTTTTCAATAACAGACATTTCTTTACAAGCACATAAACTTAATAGCACGCTTTAATGTTTCAGTGAGTATAAAAATGACAAAAAAGATCTACTTATGAGGAACAGGCACCTTCAACCAGTGATGAAAATGGAGCTTCTTTAATTCAGAAAACCACCGCAGTTTTTGGATATGCTATCAATATTCACATGTGTTAGAGAAGTCTCTGAAAGTGCTTAGCTATCATTGTCCAGATGGCTTTTTCATACACTGACAATGGTTGATAAACCCCATAGTTATTTCTCTCTTTCCCTTAATGCCCTATTTTCATTATTTGTTAGAAAAGAGATACATTAATAAATTTCTTACTCTTAGACTCACAGAATTCTAAAATGAGAAGCACGCTACAGATTATTTGTTTCAATCAGTGAGTGGAGCCCAGAGCTGCAGTAACTTTTCCACCACCACATCCAGGGAGTCCTCTGCAGAAGAGAGACTGGAAATCTTGGCCCCTGGTTTCTGCTGTGGGGCTTTTCTCCAGGTTACAAAAACCTGGAAAAAAATCCTGTGGAAAATTCGTAATGGGACTGAAATTAGTTGGAATGAGGTCAAAAGTGACAAAAAGAGATTGTCAGTATATGAAAAGAGCATATGGAGGATGATGGCTAACCATTTTCCAGTTTTGATGAAAACACTCATGAAGCCATTTCTGATACGATACTTTGTCTAAGATGTAAGTATCACCTACTTCTCTGGTTGGAAAGGGCATTATGTGTAAAAGTAACACCAGAGACAAGGTAACATTACCTCATAAACACATCTGTGAGAAGCAACACAATGTATTCAATTCATTCATTCATTGGTTCATTTCAAATATGTATTGAGTATACAATACTGGCTCGGCACCATTTAGCTGTGGAAATACAGTGATCAAAAACTCATCTACCACTCACTGGGTATGGAATACAATGAAGTTTTTTAAACAGGTAAATATTAGTCCAGCCACTCACTACTTTTATAAAAATATAGCACAAAAGTCATAATTTCACATAATTTTCTTTGAAGTATCTTATTCTGTTCGAATAGTATTTTAGTCATAAAATTGGTATCTTTATACAACACATGCTTCTAACTCATTCATAACACCCTATTTCAAACAATATTTAAGATAACAAATTTCTGGTATATAAGAACAGAAAAATCTCTTCCAGTTTCCTCCAATGTAGTTTAACTTATATTGTTGATTGAGAAAAAAATATTTTTCCACACAGATCCTACATACATTTATTGGTAGACAGATGCAATACACATTTTTTAAAGTACATAAACCAATTTGATTACTTATTATCTGTTTTGTCTTTGCTTTTATTCGTTCTTCCATTGTTTTAGATGTCCTAAACCTTCCACCAAAAACAGTACCACTGGGATTTAAGTGAGGTTCACTAATTTTTACAGCTTTTTTGCATTTTAATTACTCCAGAATTTTTATGGCTGACATTAAGCTGTGACAGCTTTGTACATTTCTCAGAGAATTGAAAGAAAATAAAATTTTACCATTTCTCTATTATTAACAAGGGTAGAATCCCATCATAATTACTGAGTGAACACAAGTCGAGGCCAAATATTTCCTTGTCCAGGAAGAAATTTATAAATCTATGCCTCCCTTAATAAGTCTTAGTGATGCAAATTGCCTATTTATTCTTTTGAGATTTTGTATCAAGTGGATCTATCATGAAGGGAGGAAAGGGAAATGTATTTTACTGAATTCAGAAGAGTGTTTATTCACAGAGTAAGGATTCAGGAAGGTGAGTCACATCCTCCAAAGCCATGGGATTATCTATTTTCTCCTCTAAAAAGAGTAAAGAACTAGAAACCAATACAATGAGAACTCCAGAAACTTTCTAACTTCTCAATGTTTGCTTTTGTGCTCAGTACCTGCCAGCTTTCTAGGACAGTAAGACCCAAGTCCGTAAAATGCAGGATCTGAACCTCCTTCTATAAGGGAGCAGGGATAAACTATTATCCTTTTTGCAGCATGGCTTGTTTGGAGGAAGAAGCCCAAAGTAACACAAGTAGAGACACAGCCCAAACTAACACAAGAGACACAGCGTGGCCAAGTTGGTTTTATGCCGGAAATGCAACACTACAAACATCATTAAGTGTAATTTACCACATCAAAAGATTAAAGGTAAAATAAGGACATATTCTCAATATATGCAGAAAAATCATCTGGCCAAATTCTACACAAACTCATAATTAAAAAACCAAACACTTCATAGCATACTCAAAAAAGGGAGGTCCTTCACTAGATAAGAAATGTCCATGAAAAAACTACAGCAAAGCTTGGTGGCTGAATATCAGAAAAATCTCATTTAAAATCAGAAACAAGACAACGGTGGCAAAAACCAAACTGCCATTTACAGAGGATGTAATGTGTATAAAGGAAGTCCCAAAGAATATGCCCCAAAACATTTATTTAGAGTTTTTTTTTTTCAAAAGCAGGGAACAATAAATGAAAAAAATCAAGATCTCTCAGTTGGAGAGCCAGGGCAGTGGAGATGGAATTAGGAAATTCAGGTAGCTTCAATAATACTACTACAGTTCTAGTTTTTTAAATTGAGCGGTGAAGTGAGAGATATATATTTTATTTCTTACAGCTTACATGTGTTACATGTATTTTTGTAATCAACAAGCATTTCACTATTTTAAATCACTTAAGCCACATGTTTAGGTATATGTGCCCAACCACGAACTTCTCTGAGGTTGGGAACAAATCTCAACATGAGTGGTAAGTGGAGTCTGGCTTGCAGGAGGTGTTCTGTACATGCTTGTTACAATATTAAGTGACAGAGGAACCTACCAAGTAGAACAAGGGCATGAGCTGCCACAGTCTTTCCACTTGTTCTCCCTCTGTCTAGAACAGTCTGCCACCCTCTCTTCATTACCTTACACCATCCAAACCCTTTCATCCTGGCCAAGCCCTTCCCATCCATCACTTCTCCATGTTCATGCCTCTTGCTCTGGGAAATCCTTCTGTGGTCAGCTCTCCCCACCCACCCGCCTGGATTAGGCACCTCCACAATCTCCCATCCCCAGCCCTGCACACACAGCTAACAGAAACCATCTCAGAGTAATATCTGGGGATCTACATTTTCAACATTTCTAGGAAATTTCCCAGTGCAAGAAAGCTGTAAGACCTCTGCTACACTAAGTTTAGAACACAGGAACGGCATCCATTTTGTTCTGTGGTAGCCTGTCCAGCAGGCAGTAGACACCATCTATCAACTGAATGAAAGAATGCATGCAGTTTACCACTTACTGTTTAGTCTTTCTGTCCTCTATTGCCACTTGCAAGTAGATAAGTAGTGGTTGATATCAAAGAAAAGAAAAGCTATTAGGAAAAATATAAAACTGAAAAGTCGATTAATTTTTAAAACTGAACAATGCACCACCAGTAGAGAGGACTGCAGTTTGAAAACTAGCATGCTATGGGGCTCTTAAAGTTGCCAGTTAATTTCTCGTGAGGTATCTATGGCCCATTCACACAGCTGAAGGCTAAATGGCGGCTCTTCTTGTGACCTTTACCTTTTCCTAATTCACTAGAAACATCAACTGCCATTTGTGTTCAAAGCCCTTATAAAGCATATTACCCAAATTGGAAATAATCTGTATTAATATTACCTTAAAAATTCCTTTATGCTATTTAACATGTTTTCTTTATGAAAAGTAACTAGTCTATCTAAAACATTACTATTTTTAAGTAAGTAATAAGTTTGATCCTCTTTCCTAACATGTATGGTTTAAAGATTTTTGTTTCTTTCTTCTAACTCCTACTTCTAGTTGTTCCCATAATAGTCCCACAAATATTTTATACCCTGGGTTTGACCATGTCCAGGGCCTTTCATATATGAAACAGGAAGCAGCTGAGCCATGTTTCACAGGCTTTTGTCCATTCTCATTTAAAGAAAAACACATCGGGAACTTCTTAAAAGGATTTCTATGGAATCATCAGTTCTCGATAAAGTTCAGAGGTGAGTAACGTCCTCATGCAAATACTCTGCCTTTGCTCACAGATTGATCACACTTCTATCAGCCACTGTTGCCTCTATATCCTTAACACCTGAACTGAATTGTCAGGAAAAAAAAATCTCATTTTTTGTTCCATAATTTTATCTGAGTAATTCTGAGAAAATATCTCCCATCATTTCCTCGACTCCTGGATTTTCTAATTCTGTACCCTGAAGATAAATTTCACTCTTTTCTATTGCCCATAAATAAATTCCGTTACACTTCAGAGTTAAATCATATCTCATATATGACCTACTTCCTTCTAGTGCTTATAAAAATTATTAATAAACTTAATTCCTTCATTAATCCATTAATTTCCTTCATTCATGAATTCATTAAATAATGTAATGCACCCATTACATGCCAAGCAAAAGTCTGGGCACTGAGAAGTCAAAGAAGAAGATAAAAGTCCCTGCACTCAAGCAGCTAATATATTTTAGTGGGAAAAAGAACACATATTTCTTTTTCTCCATCCTTTAAGTACTTTCTTCTTTCCTATCATCCTGTCAATGTTTTCCTATAGGTAGTTCTCCAGGCTCTTGAACTACATCTATTCCAAATGTACTTTGAATGCCTCCTAATAGCTTCCTAAGGCATCTTCCTTGCCATGAATCCTAAAAGCTAATGGTACCTTCACTTCTTTATATTATGCAATTTATCATTGCCCTTTTCTTCTTGTAACACCTTTTCCTTTCCAAAATTGATCACTATGTTTAAACATCTTTCTTATTTTATACTCAATTATAAAGTCTGCTTAAAAGACAGTGTCTTGCCCTCTTATTTAAATATTCTGCTTTGAAATATTCTCATCTATTTCCTCTCCTGAGTTAAGGTTTTCTCCCAACATTAGTCTTCAGATAGCTTTCATTTTTGTTGAGGATACATGTATCAATCTCATGTTTCTCTATATTTCTTATCCATTAACATGCCTCTTTCAGTCCTTATTTCTTAGCAATAAAAATATCTAGTACTGACATGCCAAATATTGTTCTAATGTGATATCTGCTCTACATGATATTGAATTTAATCCTTACAACCCTTTAGAGAGCAGTAGCATTATCCTCATTTTACAGAGGAGGAAACAAAGACACAGAGTGATGGTGTAACTTGCTAACTAAAGACAGTCACAATTTGGATATAAGTGGTCCGGCTTCCGAGTCTCTGCCTTCCCTTACCTGTTATGCTACGCTGCCTCTACAATGCAGAGGAAAAGACAACTCACCCTTTCTCATCCCATGTACCAGAAGAAAATCTTTTCACTCCAAGCATCTACTCTGATGTTATTGGGGGGATAATGGTTTAAAAAAGCAGTCTAGTTTCCCAAAGAAATGTACACAATCTTTCCTCTATAAAACTTCATAGAGGCTGGGCACAGTGGCTCACACCTGTAATCTTAGCACTTTGGTAGGCCGAGGCAGATGGATCTCTTGAGCCCAGGAATTCAAGACCAGCCAGGGCAACATGGCAAGACCCTGTCTCTACAAAAAAATAAGCCAGGCATGGTGGCAAGCACCTATAGGCCCAGCTACTCAGGAGGCTGAGGCACGAGAACAACCTGAGCCCAGAAGTGGAGATTGCAGTGAGCTATGATCCCACCACTGCACTCCAGTCTCAGGGACAGAGTGAGACCTTGTCTCAAAAAAAAAAAAAAAAAAGAAAGAAAGAAAGAAAAAACTTCACAGAAAACACTGCCAGCCTATGGAATTCAACTCATTGACACTAATTGATTTTAAGGCTGCCAAAAAAGAAACTCAACAGCTGAATATACTTACCTGTTAATCTCTCTCCTTTAGTTTGGTGTTTACCTTATCTGTTTTTAAGCTTACCATTATTTCCCCAGCATTACTTGGTTTTTCTTTTTCTTGGGGCCTACATATTATCAGGAAATTACATATAACTCTGCTTCTCCTCCCGACTATCTGCTACAGAGGCCTAGGCAGATAGTGGTTTCTTCTGCCTCCCTCTCCACTGCTTCTTTTGGTTTTGAGTTGTTGCTCCTTCTCCCTGCCCCCACCCACTTCAGCAATGCTTATTAATCACCATGCCTGGACCAGGTGGCATATAAAACACTGAAAGGATGGGACAGCTGAAATAATTATCCTGTGTTACCAGCACCCCAACTCCTAGTCAAGTAATGAACAATATCCACAAAATCCCTGACACGGTGCTCTTGTGGCATCTCCCTTGGTCCCTATTAATGGCAGGTAAGTGGCTCCCCACTTTGTCTCTAGTAGGTCCCCCAAATCCCCATAACTCCAATTTACACCCCAAATGTCTCCCGTGATGATCTAAACATGATAATCTAAAGTAACTGCTGAAGCACATTATCATGGACCATTTACAGTACTAATTCTGATAGTTCTTTATCTTCTACATAAAATACTATTATTTAATTATCTAAATTTATTTAATTTATCTAAATAAAATAAAATGTTGTTTAAAAGGTATATCTTTGTTGTGTGCAGCAATGACAGTCCGGCCAGTATTTCCCAGGTTTTTAATAAATATTTCCTTAAAAATAAATAATACTCCTAAAGCACTCATGACTAAAAGTGTTGTTTTGTTTTATTTTCGACTTAACTGAAAACCTTTTTATTCTAGTGATCTTATAATCAAAACGTCCACAATAAAAATCTGTAGTTGATCTCTTACCGACTTCTTCAAGAAAACTTTTCTCAAAGTAGCCCCTTAAGTTTTATTTTCTTTCTTCTTTCCCTCAGTCTCTGTTTCTCCTGCTGACCCCTTAACCATCTCAGTCTTCTTATAAGGTGTAGGATATTTGAGACCTACCAAGCTTTGTGTTAAGAGTGAAACCTGTAGGCAATTAAACATTTGAGCCCCCTTCCTGGCATGAAGTAAAAAAATAAGTTTGAGATCGTTTGAACCTGAGTATCACAACATGAAGGTGGGAACTGTAAGGATCACAGGTTCCTTAAAACACTTGCTCAACATCACTGATAATAGTATTAGCAGAACCAAACCCCAAAGTCATTTTAGTGATCTTTGTTTGGCAAAATATCAATCAATTAAAAATAAGTGGTTTTTGAGTTGAATAATTTGAAATGTCATCGATTTATGTGGCAATGTCTGAACCCTGACATTGCCAGCCTTATTTTTGCTAGTTATTCAAATTAGATTTGATAAGTCCATCTAAAGTTTCCCTCTTCTGGAGAAAGGTGATGGTTATATAGTTCCAATTTCCCACTTTTACTGAAGAAATACCAAAACTTTCATTTCACACTTCCACAGCACAACTTAGAAATTCCACAATTCATTCAACCTACAGCAGTAGGGATAAGACAAACAGGGTGTAAATGTACAAGAGCATGTCTGCTCCAGAATCAGAAAGGCATCCCTTTACAGCCCAGTGCTGTTTCTAAGTGAACATCTACACCAACAGAAAATAATCATAGCTGGATACAAACTACTACCATTTGCAGTTGAAGAAAAATCCAACGTGCTCATTTTTCTTCTATTTTAACAGTGATACATTAACACAGTAATTTCATTGGTACACATGAAAATACACTGTAAGTAAAATACACTGTTTTAGGGTACTCATGGAAAGTTATGTGTTGTTTCAAAGATAAACTTCTGTCATCTGAGTATCAGATCCTCTGCCAGTAATAAGTGAGATACAATTTCCACGTGAGGTATAATCAAATCCTTAGAAATACATTTTTTAATTCACCTGAGTTTTCTCAGGTGTACCAGCTTCTCTCCAATTGAACATTTAAGCTTCAGTAATTTCTCAGTTCAGGCACTTTGTTTTTCATACCCTACTTTCTGTGTCTTTCAATTATACTTTCTATTTCCAGGATATCTGACATGATTCTCTCAGAAGAGAACAATATTTTTCTTTTTAAAAAGTTATGTCAGAGAGACAGAGACTGATTTACTCTGAAGTCTCCATTCACTAGCAGTTCTGATTGCTAAAAAGGTGTCCTTTTAAACAATCTGGCACTCATTCATTTAACAAACAATAAGCACCTGCTATAGGCTAACTACTTTCCCAGGTGCTGGGATTATACAGGTAAAGTGAACAAGAGTCATGCCTTCAAGGAGCAATCAGTCTAGTGGGGGAGTCAGACTCCTAAATAAATAAACAAAATATAGTGTCATGAGTGCCATGTGAGAGGTTGGCCTAAATGCTACAGATAACCCATGGAGAGGGCAACTCATTCTGTCTGCCTACAAATGGATGTTTTATCTCAAAGACGTAGGAACTGGTTCGTCAAGTATGAATAAAAGTCATCAGGTGAAAAATAAAAGGATATTCCCAGAAGAGGAAGTAGCATCGCAAGGCCATGAAGTTGTAAAAGAATACAATGTGCTCAGGGCATGATGAGTCACTTGGTATGATTTTGGGTCAGTGTGCATAAGACAGACTTGATTTTGGGTCAGTGTGCATAAGACTGACTGTTAAGAGGTCAAAAAGGGAGATTGAGCCAATAGACAAAGGAAGAGGGATTCAAACATTCTGAGTAATGTAGTGGCTACTGGAACTATATTTCTGAAAGATAATTTTGGCAGTAATTATCACCGAACAGGAGGGATAAATGATGGAAGACAGACCCATTACGAACTAGAGTTTGCGCATGTGAATTAAAAATACAAAAGAAGAATGAAAATAGTGCTAAGGCGTCCTGCTACTAGCAGGTCCTAAAATAGCTGATAAACTCATACTTCTCCTTCCCCTTTAGTGTAGTTTTCTCTCTAATTTTGAGGCTCATAGCCTTAAAAAAACCAATGCTTCTCAAATTCAATGGATATAGGAATCATCCGGGCATCTTGTCAAAATGCAGATTCTTATTCAGTATCTCTTGAGAAGGAGGAGAGCTGAGATTATACATTTCTAATAAGCTCCCAGGAAATGCCAATGCTATTAGCCCATGGACCAAACTTTGAGTAGCGTGTCATTATGAGTCAGTTATATTGCTGCCCTTTCTCAATAAATCACAATGAAAACTGAACACTTGAACATCGCTGTTGGTTGGATGGGTGTAAGGAAGCATGTATGTTTGTTGTCTAATACCACTTAAGAAGTGATATGACACACTGGCTAAGCATTTGCAGTGAATGAGAACAGACTATGGTCACCTCTCATAGCAGATGTAGTGCCCTCAATGCCAGAGTATCCATCTTGTAAGCAAAAGTTGGCAATAGCTGTCATTTAAAATCTCTAGTTGGTTCCGGTAATCGTATCAAAGTTCATTTTCAGATTTATGTGGCCATTTCTGATAGAAATAAAAAGTATGGGCCAGGCGCCATGGCTCATGCCTGTAATCCCAGCACTTTGGGAGGCCAAGGTGAGTGGATCATGAGGTCAGGAGGTCAAGACCAGCCTGGTCAAGATGGTGAAACCCCATCTCTACTAAAAATACAAAAATTAGCCCAGCCTGGTGGCGGGTGCCTATAATCCCAGCTAGTCGGGAGGCTGAGACAGGGAGAATCACTTGAACCCAACCTGGGTGACAGAGCAAGGCTCTGTCTCAAAAAAAAAACAAAGTATCTGAAAGTATATGCTCCTAGCAGAGATGATCTTTAATGACTGCTACTATAGCAATGCAGTTTTAATGTTAAATGGCTTGGTTACTGCCAAGAATATATGGCATTAAACAGAAGGTCTTCATTTAGTTTATCATTTCAAATTTTATCTATTGACCCTCTAACTAGAGCAGAACCATCCGTAAGGATGACATCTCTATAGTTCTCTGAAACAGTCAACATCACCTACCAGAAATGTAATGCGGGAGTAGGGCGTGAACAATAGATCTTGATTCTGAATGCCTTACTTTCCTTCTAAGGGAGCAACTTTACCTGGATTTCAAGTTTTCCTTTCATCATTTTCCTGGTGCACGGTGACACAGATGGTGTGAGGTAATTTTATGCACTCCATCTAAAAGCACCAGTTCCCCTTTTCATTGACCAATCCATGCTGCTTCACACAAAGGAGACATATTGGTGACTTATCTGGTGTAGTACAAATCAAGACTAAACAAAAGCAATTCATTCCAAATCAGGACCTAGCCCTGAGCTGGAGAAACTTACATGTCCCTTGATTGTTGCAACAGCAAGCACCGTTTTCCTATCTTGTTTTCCTCCCTCCTCCACTAAAAATAGTGGGAAAAAATATTAAAAGAGCTGTGAAAGGGAGAAGTTGTGGATTGGCAAGCATTTCTGTCTTACGTATCATTTGATCTAAACTCCTTTAAGAAATAACGGCAGTGGAAAAAAAACAAATCCTCTTAAAAATAGAGAGTACTAAAAAGCTACTCATTTAAGCTTGCAAAATTTTGTCCTAACCTAAAATAAATTTGCTACATTTTCATGTAATTTATTTGCAATTGAACACTTTAAGTAACATTACATGATACCAACTGCTTGCCTGAAAACTTGTGAAGTTTTGCTGGTATATAGTAATACTTTACTAAGATGTTTCAGAACATAAAAAGCAAAATCAGTGCTGGAAAAAAAATGTTCTTTTTGTTCTAGGGTCTGTGTTTGGAAAATATTGCCATGTAGCATTTATGGTAACAGCTGTATGGTTAAACTTTAGGCACAAACTGAACTGCAGAGGATCTGCTGCATAAATAAAATCCCCATGGCAACTAAATGTGCTACTAGATAACAGAGAAAAAAGGATTTATGTGTTTGCTGAGCTGTCTTGCCCTAAAGGAATTCTCCAGGCAAACGCAGGCCACCTGCCACATGTTATATTAAGCTCAGCCTTCTGGACTTATTTTCAAATCCACAGCAAAAAGGTCCAACTACTTTTATTTGGAAGTTTCATTGTTCTTTATTCCCAGTCCCTCCAAAAATAAACAATTCATTTTTCAATTTGCCTGCTATATTTTGCCCTGGATACAAAAGATAATTAATGAATTTGTTTGTGCTCCTAAACATTTTGTTGATCGTACTGAAATAAGAAGCATATTTATAACAAGAAAGTTGTTTTAATTTGTAGATAGAACTTGCCTATCCCATATAAGACAGACCGTATGGAAAAAGCACAGTGGTTGATGAGGATATTTTGAAGATTACCATGAAAGAATACAACCACAAAGATAAACATTTTCTGTAAATTTATTGTGAAAAACATGTATAGTTCTTCCTGAAGGAGAATAGGGATATAAAACATTCTAGACTTTTGTTATAGTGTCATTAAATCAATTAACTTCAAAATAATTACTTAAAATGTTTCCTTTTTTCCTTTTAAGTATACTTTCCCACTTCCAATCCCCATCATAGCTAAAGATACTTGTTGATACTACTGCATATTTATATTAATGTTGATAATATTGCAATATTATATAATATTAAAGTATTTTTGAGTATATGAAATACAATGTGATATATACTATTTGAACTGAGAGAGAGGAAAAAAAGACAACAATTATGTGAAAGTCATTCAACATAATTCCTTACAAGAAAAGAGGGAAATAGACTGGAAATATGCTCCCCAAAACTTGAGATTTAGTTTAACTTATGTGAACATTGACCTTGATGAAATAATGGAAGAGTACTCACCTGTGAATAATTATAACTATTATCTATTTCTCAATCCTGCCTAAATTGTAGTGAGAGAATAAATTAAAGCTTTTTCTATGTCAGTTAATATGGAAGTGAAAGGGAAAAATGAGTCACTGACACACAAAAATGTCAAAGATTTTGACAGTAAATAATCAATTTGCTGCTTTCATTTACTTCTGGTGACAAGCATTTATTATGACAAAAATTATTTCCAGGTATTTACTAATACCAACAGAAATATTAATTATGACTTTACTAAGTAAAAGATACAAATTTCTATCAAATAAGGTTACAATTCCAGTAAGATATTTGTTCTGTCTCAGAAATGTATGGCCTTTTACAAGTAGATTTCCACACTAGCATCTAAGGAACAAGCAAGTCTTCAGAAAGGATCTTGATTTTTGCAAAACACAAATTTGGCTATTCTGCAATACAATCAAACCTAAATCGCCATAGCAAGACACACCATTAACACTGCACTCTTTGGCTTACACAGAACAACTCTTGCCATCTCAGCTAATGTAAACATTTCAGCAGCAAGGTTATTTCTCTGTCATGAGAGTAGATACTTACTAGGAATAGCAAGTGACACCTTCAGCAGAGGCAGAGTCCTCAGGTATGCTTCCCAGCAGTCAGTTTCAGGTAAGTCTATAAGTACAGCCATAGATCTCAAATAGAGTTTGACTATGATCCCCAGTCAAATCCCCTCTAGCCGTGAATCTCCCTCCTCCCCAGATTATTATACAAAAATAATGCTAAAGAGAGGCTTTTGGATGTCCCCACCACCAAGAAATGATAAATGCATGAAGTGATGGTCATGCTAAATACCCTGATTGGATGATTATACAGCATATATGTACGAAAACATCACATTGTACCCCCATAAATACGAACAACTATAATGTGTCAAATTTTTTAAATAATGCTGTAATACTAACGGATTAGAGAGGAATGCACATAAATTATAAAGAAAGAACATGTTTTTGTGTGATATTCTGTTACAAAGCAATGGCCTATTAAAACCTTCTAAAAATCAATATTTATTAATACTTTGGCCACAGGTCCTACACCAAAATACCACTTTTCTTCCTGGGCATATGGTTGGACTACATGTTGCAGCTTGCCTTGAAACTGAATGTGACCATGTGACTGAGTTCCAGCAGACAGAATATGAGCAGAAGTGGTTGCGTGCTGCTTCTAGGTCTGGTCCATTATAAGCTTCTCCAGGTGACCCAGGTGATGGGTGGGTGGGGAGGGGATAACAGGCACCACTCAGAGTGATTCTGCCATTCTAGAAGCCTGGCACAACTTTTGTCAGTTCGGAGAAGCAGTAAATTCACGTCCACCAGTAACATTCATGTGGGAAAATTCTGAAAATAAAAAACTCTTGTGTTAAGCTACTGAAATTTTAAGGTTTGTTAAAGCATCTAGCATTGCTATAATATAGCACTTATCTTAGTAATGTCTTATAAGTTATTTAATAGGAAGAAATGCATATGCAGTCTATCAAATAAATAACTTGGAAGGAGGTTAAATATATATACATACATCTATATTTCAAAAGTAAACTTACTTAAATTTGATTCCAATTTGAATTACAACACATGCTCATCCTGAAGTTCTTGGGAAGTTATGCAAATTAGTACCTACAACATTCCTAAGCAAGACTAGCTCTTGTTATAAAATGAATCAAGGGTAGCTTTGCAAAGAACAGAAAGTAGCATGTTTACTGTTTAACTTCTAAATTATCAGCTAATTATGTAGGGAGCTAGTTCAGTAAAATATGGAGATATAATCCCTTTGTGACACAACTGGGAAACTGCTCTCACTGAGAAGAGTGGCATTTTGAGTGATTTCCTCCAAAAAGCCACTAAAAGGCACCCAAGTAGCTTACAACAGATTTTAAAGCTGACTCTTTTTTCTTTTTTTAAGAGAAATGACAATTTGGATGAGGCTCCCATCTGTGTATTGCAAATAATGGATACAGAAACATGATTGTTGAAGTACTCGTGAGGGACCTTGGAGTCTCCCAAAATATGGAGTTCTGTTTTCTAGAAAAGACATTTTAAAGTCTATAAAATAGACTTTAATTTACAAATCAAGGATCTATCATAGAGATTTCTCCCTAGCAGTGATGTGGGCCAAATCATCAGATAGATGCAGGTCACCTTCATAGAATTTTCCACATGTGTTTTTCTTATAAACCACTGTACATGGAAACCAAAGTCTCTATCAAAACAAATCCCTGATGGATTGCATATATGACCAAGATTGGGTGATGACCATCTTATAGAAAAACAATGAACAATTTTTGAAGTTATTTTTATATTTAGGTAACACATATGGATGATTTCTATCTAAATAGTTTGCATTTCTAGGTACTTTCTTTACTCAATGTCTCTAGTTAAGATGGAACACCTTCTAGGACACACACAGTCCTTTTCATAATCACATCATTTTACCCTACCAAAGAAGTTGGTGACCCATCATAATCTCAGACTCAGAAAAGATGTCTTATGACACCAGCATTATATGCTCACCTTGTGAATTTTTAAACAAACATACAGTCACATACACTAAGCAAAAGCACGACTGGGTACATGACCTCTCTTTCTCCACGGACAAACCTCTGGGAAGACTAGCCTGAATTCACTGCACCTACCTCCTTCCTAATCCTTACTTCCTTAAACCTTTGAAACCTAGTTTCTAATCCTTCCACTGTGTTGAAACGTTTCTCTCAAAAGTCCCAAATCACCCACCAACTATCAAAGTGAACAGCCTTCTTTCAGTCCACAGTCTACAGGACCTTCCACCTATCCCTTTCCGATATTAACCTTTTCCTTACTATGCTTAAAGCACTCAAAACAAAGACTGGCTTGCAATAAGCACTCAATAATGTTAGTGATGTTACAATTATTATTTGTTCTTGAGATTCTAGTCTATCATGCCTTTCTTAGAATAGGAATCTTTTTCTTCCATCCTACTTGGTTTGTTGTGGTCATGAACTTCTCCTTCTCCCATCGTCTGAAGTTAACTTTTCCACAGCCCATATCCTCAGGCTGCTCTTCATTTTTATTATACATTTTTGCATCTTTTAATTACAGCATTGTAATCTACCCTAATACATATAAACTCTCTATATATTGCATATTCTATTGTTGAGACTTCTTTTACATTAGAAGCTGCTGCTTTAATTTCTTGACTTGTAAGCCTTCTTGGTTTCTCTTCAGCTACTATAAATGTCAAACTGGATCTCGTCAATAAGTAGAGTTTAACGTGACCATGACATATAAGGCAAGCCCACAATATCCCTGCTCAAAACACTCATTGCTGCAGCATTAAGTAAATGGAAGGCTCAGACAGAGAGGATTGTTCTCATCTGTTGATTGCATTTATGTGCTAGCATTTCTCAATTACTGATGACTCTTATAAGAAGTACCCTTTCAGTAACCCACAAAGTTTGTCAAATACCCAAGTCTCTCATAAGGCAGTAACCTTACAACATATTAGTGTCTCACAGATTCTCAGCAGCACGGCATCATTCTGCTTGAATCCATATGCATTTGGTTTTAAATGACTTTCAGCACATGAATCCCAGGAAGCAGCAGAATAATGTTGTGCTGAATAACATTAAAAAATCAGGAACTAGGCTGGGCATGGTAGTTCACGCCTATAATCCCAGCAATGTGGGAGGCCAAAGGGGGGTGGATCATTGAGGCCAGGAGTTTGACACCAACCTGGCCAACATGGCAAAAACCCATCTCTACTAAAAATACAAAAATTAGCCACATTTGGTAGCACCAGCCTGTAATCCCAGTTACTCGGGAGGCTGAGTCACAAGAATTGCATGAACCCAGGAGGCAGAGGTTGCAGCAAGTCAAGATCGTGCCACTGCACTCCAGCCCGGCCAATAGAGCAAGACTCTGTCTCAATTAAAAAAAGAAAATTTTCCAACATGATCAAGTGGGCTTCATCCCTGGGATGCAAGGCTGGTTCAACATATGCAAATCAATAAACATAATACAGCATATAAACAGAACCAATGACAAAAACCACATGATTATCTCAATAGATGCAGAAAAGGCCTTTGACAAAATTCAACAACCTTCATGCTAAAAACTCTCAATAAATTAGGTATTGATGGGACGTATCTCAAAATAATAAGAGCTATTTATGACAAACCCACAGCCAATATCACACTGAATGGGCAAAAACTGGAAGCATTCCCTTTGAAAGCTGGCACAAGACAGGGATGCCCTCTCTCACCACTCCTATTCAATATAGTGTTGGAAGTTCTGGCCAGGGCAATCAGGCAGGAGAAGGAAATAAAGGATATTCAATTAGGAAAAGAGGAAGTCAAATTGTCCCTGTTTGCAGATGACATGATTGTATATTTAGAAAACCCTATTGTCTCAGCCCAAAATCTCCTTAAGCTGATAAGCAACTTCAGCAAAGTCTCAGGATACAAAATCAATGTGCAAAAATCACGAGCATTCTTATACACTAATAACAGACAAACAGAGAGGCAAATCATGAGTGACTCCCATTCACAATTGCTTCAAAGAGAATAAAATACCTAGGAATCCAACTTACAAGGGACGTGAAGGACCTCTTCAAGGAGAACTACAAACCACTGCTCAACGAAATAAAAGAGGACACAAACAAATGGAAGAACATTCCATGCTCATGGGTAGGAAGAATCAATATCATGAAAATGGCCATACTACCCAAGATAATTTATAGATTCAATGCCATCCCCATCAAGCTACCAATGACTTTCTTCACAGAATTGGAAAAAAACTACTTTAAAGTTCATATGGAACCAAAAAAGAGCCTGCATTGCCAAGTCAATCCTAAGCCAAAAGAACAAAGCTGGAGGCATCACGCTACCTGACTTCAAACTATACTACAAGGCTACAGTAACCAAAACAGCATGGTACTGGTACCAAAACAGAGATACAGACCAATGGAGCAGAACAGAGCCCTCAGAAATAATGCCGCATATCTACAACTATCTGATCTTTGACAAACCTGACAAAAACAAAAACTGGGGAAAGGATTCCCTATTTAATAAATGGTGCTGGGAAAACTGGCTAGCCATATGTAGAAAGCTGAAACTGGATTCCTTCCTTACACCTTATACAAAAATTAATTCAAGATGGATTAAAGATTAACATGTTAGCCCTAAAACCATAAAAACCCTAGAAGAAAACATAGGCAATACCATTCAGGACATAGGCATGGGCAAGGACTTCATGTCTAAAACACTAAAAGCAATGGCAACAAAAGGAAAAATTGACAAATGGGATCTAATTAAACTAAAGAGCTTCTGCACAGCAAAAGAAACTACCATCAGAGTGAACAGGAAACCTACAGAATGGGAGAAAATTTTTGCAATCTACTCATCTGACAAAGGGCTAATATCCAGAATCTACAATGAACTCAAACAGATTTACAAGAAAAAAACAACCCCATCAAAAACTGGGCGAAGGATATGCACAGACACTTCTCAAAAGAAGACATCTATGCAGCCAACAGACACATGAAAAAATGCTCATCATCACTGGCCATCAGAGAAATGCAAATCAAAACCACAATGAGATACCATCTCACACCAGTTAGAATGGTGATCATTAAAAAGTCAGGGAACAACAGGTACTGGAGAGGATGTGGAGAAATAGGAACACTTTTACACTGTTGGTGGAACTGTAAACTAGTTCAACCATTGTGGAAGTCAGTGTGGCAATTCCTGAAGGATCTAGAACTAGAAATACCATTTGACCCAGCCATCCCATTACTGGGTATATACCCAAAGGATTATAAATCATGCTGCTATAAAGACACATGCACACGTATGTTTATTGCAGCACTATTCACAATAGCAAAGACTTGGATCCAACCCAAATGTCCAACAATGATAGACTGGATTAAGAAAATGTGGCATATATACACCATGGAATACTATGCAGCCATAAAAAATGATGAGTCCATGTCCTTTGTAGGGACATGGATGAAGCTGGAAACCATCATTCTCAGCAAACTATCACCAAGGACAAAAAACCAAACACCGCATGTTCTCACTCATAGGTGGGAATTGAATAATGAGAACACATGGACACAGGAAGGGGAACATCACACACCGGGGCCTGTTGTGGGGTGCGGGCAAGGGGGAGGGGGGAGGGATAGCATTAGGAGATATACCTAATGTAAATGATGAGTTAACGGGTGCAACACACCAACATGGCACATGTATACATATGTAACAAACCTTCACGTTGTGCACATGTACCCTAAAACTTGAAGTATAATAAAAAAAAAAAGAAAAAAAAAGAAAATTTAAGGAACTGTGCAGGTCTTCAATAATGTATTTTTTTAAATGATGCAAAGTAAATTCAAACTAACACATCTCTTTTATTTTGGGAAACCTGCACATTAATAATGGAATATTAAGGCAACAATGGAATAGAGTTCCTGGGGATATAAATTATAAAGTGAGTTGGTTTGCTTTGTGAATTACTGTAGCAAATTTAATCCAATATGATAATAGGGCTATTTTTTAAATAATTCCAGCTTCTTCTTTGTAAAAGCCTGGATTCTTATAAAGCAACTGTGCCAGTTATTAAGCTATTGTTATCAGCCTCAAAATCACCGTTCTACGCTCTACCCTAGATGCTGGGGCTGAGACTTGGCCAACTGCCTCTGGGCCCAGTGAGCGGCTCCCTGTTAGGCTCTGCTGTAGGGGGACATTCAAAGAGACTGCATGGCTAACAGGAAGAAGGGCCTTGCTCCCTTCAGGCTTTCTGCCTGGCTCAGTGAGTATCACCCCAGCAGTTTCTTCTCCCCAACAGTGGCAGAGCCTTCCAAGGGCAGCAGCTGAATTCAGTTTGCAGTTTTTCCAGCACTTGCAGGATCAGCCTCATCCCTCTCCTCTTCAGAGACAAACTGGCCAAAGTCGCTCTTCAGAGGTCTGAGGTTCAGCCTCACAGGGGTCTCTCCTCTCCATCTGTCAGTTTTAGCTCCCTCCATCCCAACCTCTCTCTTGTTTCAGGCAGTCCTGTGGGTAGTGCCTGCTTCCCACAACTGCTATGTCAGCAGTCTCATTTTACCCTTTCAGTTACTATTAATAGTTAACAACATAAAACCTAGTTAGCAATTCTTTATATTAAACTCTCCGGGTTCAACTAGCTGTTGTGGTTCCCGTCCCCGGACTGAACCTAGAGATATAGAAATGCGCATTTGGTTTCAAATGCCTTTCAACATATGAATCCCAGGAAGCAGTAGGAAAAAATGTTGTGCTGAATAGTATTAAAAAGTTAGGAACTGTGCAGGTCTTCAACAATGTATTTTTTAATGATGCAAAGTAAATTCAAACTTTGCACATTCCATTTAAGCTTGCATTTCCCAAAGTATATTCTAAGGATTATTAGTACTGTAAGGTACCCTTAAAAAATTGAAAAGGTTTTTGTGTTCAAAAAGTTAGTAAAACAGCGTATCACAGAACTCCCACAGACTACTACTGTGAAAATTCAGCAATGAGAAAATTAAATGCTTTAAGAAGTCCTATTGTAAAAACTGTTTAACCAATGTTTTCTAAACTTACTTCAGCCTGGAAACCTTCTTTTAAATAACTTTTTAATACTGTGGAACTTGAGTTCAGTAGAACACTCTTTGGAAAATGGTTACTCATTGCATATTAAATTTAAAACCCTGTCAAATCATTTTATACAGGCAGATCATAAAAGATCAGTCATATGTAAACATGTACAGTCTAAATATTAAGAATATTTAATATCTCAAGTATTCAAATAATAACATATTTATTAAATGAATTGAATGTTAAGTGATTAGGGTCTTAAAATCATTTCTGTTAAACTGAATTTGTCACTCAACGTAATATGTTATAAATATATCAGCAAAATACTATTACAGAGAGCTCTCGGCCAGGACACAGAAATAGCCTTCGTATAAGGAACTGGTGTTAGAGTTGTACTTAAATGTTCATCTGCTTGTATTTATAAATATTAAAATTGGCATCCACCTATAGTCCCAGCTACTCAGGAGGCTGAGGTGGGAGGATCGTTTAAGCCCAGGAGGCAGAGTTTGCAGTGAAGTGCACTCCAGCCTGGGAGCCAGAGAGAGACCTTGTCTCAAAAAAAAAAAAAAAAAAAAAAAAGACATGCAAATTACAGATAAGAGGTAACGTGTATAAGGCTGTATACATGTAAAAATGAAAAACATAAACAGTATTGCTAAACAATGCTAAAGTCCATTCCAGTTTAATCTGTGCTCAATACGGTATCTGAGACAAAATCAACTTTATCATTATACTCTCACCACAAGAAGCCCCAAATTGCTCAAACATATAAACAAACATGCAGGACTGAATATATACTAGAAAAATTACATTAATTTTGCAATATCAAATGCAGTATTTTACCAAAGATGTAAACTACACTTGAGTCAGTATTTCCCAGCATGCTAATACTTGGATATACTGCAGATTTCATTCTATGAAATGTAATCCCCAGAAGCTATAAAAATGTAAAACAGGATTTTAGAGAATATCTGCTAGGTGGTAGGCATTGAGCTAGGGTTATACACATAACATAAATTTTTGCCAAAACAAAAAACCAAAATGAACCAAAAAACCCTGTAAGCTTAGTAGTATCACCCCCATTTTACAGGTGAGAAAACTGAGGTTCAAAGATTTAAAAGTTTTCCTCTAATTACACAATTTCTATTTGCTGGAATCAGAATTTGACACTGTATTCTAACCTCATGCTCAGTTTAGAAAGTACCCCTTCTGT
This sequence comes from Homo sapiens, assembly GCF_000001405.40. Taxonomy (NCBI): domain Eukaryota; kingdom Metazoa; phylum Chordata; class Mammalia; order Primates; family Hominidae; genus Homo; species Homo sapiens. The sequence continues at coordinate 33,109,176 of NC_000014.9, read as the reverse complement.
GACACAATCCTGAATTCACATGGATCTTTGAAATGGCAAATGATTGTGGTAATATAGAGATGTTCCACTACATTTCAAAATTGTTTCAGGCAACGTGTTTCTTTATTATTACTAGGAATAGTTTATTGGACTTTGCAATAAATCAAATCAGGACTGTAAAGAAAACAAGATAAAACAAAATCTTCTTCACAAACACATAAAAAACAGTATAAGTTTTACTCTAACTTGATCTTTGTTAGATGCGATCACATAAAATACTCCACCAATAGATATGACAAACGCACTTTATATTTCAATGTGTCAAACCATTTCAATGCTCTGAAACTATGTTGAAGCTGGCAGGCAAGCAGACTATATTAAATTTTTCTCTGGAATCGACTTCAATTCTAGACTGAATTATTGGAATTTTAGTGACCCTAAAAAAGGCTGTCAGAAATGATATTCAACACAGAGTTTTCAAATCTAATGCTCTATTACACATACTTCACATAAAATAATATAGTTTCAATATAAACAAACCAGTCAAAAACAACATTCTATTTGTTCTTGTAATTTTGTACACATTTTGATATTGATTTGTCACAGCAGATTCTAAAATGCATTTGCTTCTTAAGACAAAACTCACAGCATCTATTTCATAATTCAATAGTTCATTTGGATATGATACAGTCATAATGCTTGCCTAAAATGGACTTTTTGTTATTTGCCAGTAATCCCAGCACTTTGGGAGGCCGAGGTAGACGGATCATGAGGTGAAGAGTTCAGAACCAGCCTGGCCAACACAGTGAAACCTCGTTTCTACTAAAAATACAAAAATTAGCCAGGTGTGGTGGTGGGCACCTGTAGTCCCAGCTACTTGGGAGGCTGAGGCAGGAGAATCACTTGAACTCGGGAGGTGGAGGTTGCAGTGAGCCAAGATTATGCCACTGCACTCCAGCCTAGGCAACAGAACGAGATTCCATCTCAAAAAAAAAAAAAAAATCAGAACAATAAATAGATGGCTAATAGCTATTAGCAGGCCTGGATTTCTAAATTCTACTTTTTTGCTTTTTTGCACATAGAACAGAATTATCTCAAGTGATTTTCAGTAACACAAAACTAGTAGCACTGGGAATCCAATCAGTGAATAGGGAGATGGCTTGTCACCCTTCTCTAGTTCTGCGAGGAGGACAGTCCTCTTTCATTGCAGGTAAGTTTTAAAAATAACAACTTACAAAGCAATTCACTCCTGAATTTATTCTATTTTTTCAAAGAATTAAAAGCACATTGTGTATGAATCTATGTTATCACCATTGTTTCTACCGCTTACTGTTTACCAACACAATACCAGTACCATGTTCCTGGCAAACAACATTAAATCTCAAGAAGTGTCAATATAAGAGAATTAGAGAATAAAATGGGAAGCCAATTAGCTAACCCATAAACTTGTCCTTTTAAACTTCTATCATTTTGTAGAAAATATGTTTTTTCTCATTGCAGCACATATTTAAAGACATAAAATCAACCCTGGTGCCCATCAATGGTGGACTGTATAAAGAAAATGTGGTACATACACACCATGGAATACTACACAGCCATAAAATAGAATAAAATTGTGTCTTTTGCTGCAACATGGATGCAGCTAGAAGCCAATATCCTAGGCAAACTAAAGCAGACACAGAAAACCAAATACTGCATATTCTCAATTATCTGTGGGAGCTAAACATTGGGTATACGTGGACATAAAGATGGGAACAACAGACACTGGGAACTACTAGACAGGGGAGACAGGAAGAGGGTAAGGGTTGAAAAACCGCCTGTTGAGTACTATGCTCACTACCCTGCCTGGGTGATGAATTCATTTGTACTCCAAACCTCAGCATCACGCAATATACCTTTGTGACAAAACTTGCACATGTACTCCCTGATTCTAAAATAAAAATTAGGGGAAAAAAGAAAATATATTTTTTTACAGAGCATAAAGCCCCAAAGATCAGACTTAATCTTTGGATTACCTAGCCCTGTGATACCAAGAAAGAAGTCACAAGAACCCAGGATAGAGAGTTCAGCTCAAGAGAAGGGTCTGGTTAAATGCACAGCTGCATCCTGATAAATAGGGAGCACCTACCCAGCAGCCTTTATTCTGAGTGGAAGACACAGAAAAAGTGAGAATACAACAGCCAGTGACACTCAAAGGGAAGCAATAGTCCATGGTCCCCCAACCCAATCCTAAAAGTAAATGCAAGTACAAACAAACCAACACATGCACACACACATACCTGTTTTCAGATGTGTCACTGTAAGATATTCATTATATTCATAGTGTTAAGGGAGAAATCCATCTGTCTAGCAGCATTCAGAATTGAAACACTAGGAAATCATGTGGTGTTCTTGGTTTTATCATAATTTATAGTATGAACCAAGACAAGTTGTTTAGACTTCCCGTGCATCAGTTCTGCGGTAAGTAGATCATTAATATCTGCCTCTTCAAATTATGTTCTGGAAATAAGGTGATCTTTTAAAATTATAGATTATTGTTTCTCATTAGCTTGTACTTAAAGATAACAGCTTTTCTCCTCATTTAAGAGCAGGGCTCCAGTGGAAGACTAAGGTGGTCTCATTCACAACTTTTCAAAAGTTCAACTGATTAGTCAACCACTTTGTTGGGATAATGATTTGCTTCTCCTTTAATTTATCAATGTATTCTGATTCACAAAAAATTTTGATAGCAATTTTGAAAATTTTACTCTAGTCCAGTTTAGGATCAGCTTGACTCACAAACCTGGGATAAACTCAAACTGAATTAAAACAATGGAGAAGGTGGCATTTAATAGCAGGTTAAGTGGAAACAAAGACATCTTTTGAATTGCTGCTACTATATTTGGGACAATACTGAGAGTTAATCCATAAACTAGAGGTAAGAACATACTTCTTTTCTTCTCAAAATAATGTCCATCAGCTTTAGAAATTAAAATTAGTTTATCTTACAAAATAATTTCCAAGATTTTGCAAAAAGGAAGGAAAAGTCTATATTGGATGAATTTGTGGTTTATTAGTATAAAGAAACACATTCCTAAGAATTTGGAGCTTTGATCACAGCAAGGACATAAGGAGGTCATTCAGTCTAGGCCTTCCTATTTCTAAGAAGCACTGCACTTACAGAAAGCTGGTATTCATGTTTGGTTGAGTTTGTTTCATGTAACTATTCCAAAATCACAGTCAAAAGAGTCAATATATCTTTGATATCCAAGCTTCCAGGGAAGAAGCAACAGACATTTCTCCTCATCTAAGCTTCAGTCTTTTAAATAACTCCTGTAGGAATAATTCTGAAAGACATCAGCCATGTCAACCCATCAATCTTATCCATGCCATTACCAGACATTTTTTAACTAAGATTTTTGTTTTTGTTGTTTCAGGAGCATAGTTTTGATCTTTTTTTTTCCTAAATAACGATATATGTTCAATATGTATGCCTGAATTATGAACATAACACCAAATTGTTGCAACTAGCACTAATTTGGGACTGATTAACATTAGCTATTGCCTGGTCCTGTAACACATCTGCATATTTATCTAATACTGCATGACTCATTGTAACAAGGAGTAGTTTTTGCTGTGCTTTAGTAGCCCATGTAATCTAATTTAAAGATTTAGTTAAAACTAGGTAGAGATAACAAATAAGTAGCTGGATATACAGTTTGAAACCTGGAGGTAGGTTGAGAACTGAAAATGATGCTTTGAAGTCATAAATGTAAACTTACAGAAAAAAAGGCAGAAAAGCAGAAAATGCAGATCATAGGAGCAGCCACCATCATAGTAGTTCTTGCTCCATTTCTTACCACATTTATCTTACTCAGTTTTCTCATCTTTAAAATGGAGTGAATAGGTCATACTTCAGGCTTTTTGAAGATAAAGTTTGATGCTCCTTGGAAGAAATATATTAAGTGACAGAGCAAAGCGTCACTTGGTTATATGTTTAATGTGATCATTTGCATAAATAACTACAAATTTGAATCTCAGCATTTAACAAACATGACTATAATCCAATTTGTGTGATGTATGTTTGGTGATTTTTAACCTTTACATCTTTTATACAAACCTATGGATTACTGGAAGCAAATATATATACACACTTCTCCAAGATATAGTAGATGCTTTCCCACATCATGAACCCTCTCCTAGATATATTCCAAAATTCCTATGTTGGCTAGTAAAACCTTCCTTACACATCAGCAACAAACGCAACCCCCATTATCAATGCTGACTTGCTTAGTGAATAGCTGCTTCTTCATAAACTGAACTATGTCTGGAAAGCCAAACAAACCAAACATGAAAATGGGCACCATATTTTTTTAAATCCATACTAAATGCAGAACATACTCAATTGTCTGACAAATTGGTTAAAATTGGTGCCACTAGAATTGAGTCACTGAAGAGTTTATTTCTCTCACTATATTAACTGTGTGATGTAGCAATTGCACCTAATGAACTTAATGTGGCTTACGGCTATGCACTGCTTCCTCTCAGAAACAAAATCTAAATGTTCCCATGTCTGGCCAACTGGCATCCAACACTACGTCAGTACAGGCACACAAGCCACTAATGTTCCATTTTGGCCTCTGGCTAATACACTTTTATTTCACATGTTCTCTGAATGTAAGATGTTTTCACTAAAATGCTCAGTAGTTTTTAAAAATAAAAAGCCACAGAAGAAATTTGTAGTTTCTTTTTGACAAGTTCACTATATATAAAATTTCTACAACTCACTACAGTGTAGTTGAAGAGGATTCTCAGAATTAATCACAAATGTAGTAACTTACGGACTTTTACCCACATGAACTGAAATGAAATCATCCTTTGAAATAGAAGCAGCATGAAAAGAAAATAAGAACAAGACTTTTAAAAATCATGACAACCCTTCAATAAATGTGTGGAATGGTACTAAAGCCATACTGCAATGCTCAACTCTACTTTATACTCAAGGACCTTGTTATAAGTGAAGGTGTTAGAACAAGGTCCTTTTGTTATTTACAGAAATGAACTCAGCACACAGGGAGATGCAATAGTCTACATTATAGTGAGTCTGCAATGTAGCTGATACCCATACAGATTTTTTTTACAGCATTCTGTAGTTCTGCCTTTCTCCTTTCATGTTCCCTATTGAAGCCAGACGCCATAAGCTTTTAGGGGTAAACGTGAGCTCTTTTTGTCAACAGCATATTTAAGATTCTGGAAGTTGTATTTTTCCCCCTTTTCCTTTAATGGTATATCCCTTCCTCCTTTCTGCCACACATGAGCTACCTACCCAGTGCTTTTCTTGCTGCAGCTCTACCCTCACTGAACTCAAAAGGCATGGCCTCTCTTAAAAGAAGCCTAAATCTTATCATTCATATTCCTCCTCTCTGGAAGACACAATCTCCGGACAAAGTCATCCTGTGCTTCTGCACACATATGCTTTAGCTAATCTCTAGGTGAAGCTGTTCCAACACCCTTCATTATTACCCAATCACTCTCAACACAGCCAAAGTGCTGCTCCTCTATGACTGAGTAGCACTGACCTCAAAATAAAAGTTGAAAGTCTAAAGCTGAGGCAATTAAAATTTCACAGTGCAAATAAATCTTGCCAATTGCTCTTTGGCAATATCTTCAAGGACGCTATTTTCTACAACTGGATCATCGCTATAAATGGTACTTAGGACCTTTACCCTCAAGGACACCAAAGCTTGTAAAAGCCTAAATATGTAGAATAAATTCAGCTCAGCAGTAACACCACTTAAGTAAGCCAGAAATAATATACAGAACAGCACATGAAGGTTGATAGTAAGTCTACATGATGCAATGGCAGAGCTTCCATGTCCATTGACTTTCAGGTGAGCTCTTGACACAGACAAGAGGGTGAGGACAGTGGGCTCTGAGACCACCAAAGCTCTTGGGAAAGTAGAAGGGTCAGGGCTTCTACTGACTATGGCCGGTCCCCAGGTGGGAACATCTATTTGTCATGAGAGCCTGGTTTGCAGGACCACTGAATCAGGGCATGCAGAAGTCACACCATATTCCCAATACTTTACCTGAATTTTCATTCACAAAACACATTCCTCATAAGGTATTGGTATGTATACTTTTCTTTTAACTTAAATTCCTTATAAACTTACCACTAGTCACCACCAACTTTAGTAGAAAACCATGCCCATCTGCAAATAAAGGAACCAGACACTTACTAAATGCCTGCAGACTGCTATACTGTAAGGTAATAGTTCTCCATGCAAAAAAACCCTTGTGTTAACACAAATAAAAAAGTGGAGAACTTAAGCAGTTACCTTGGTAAATAAGATTTTTGAGGCAGAACCAGAAACTTCTAAATAATTAAGGTAATTTTCTCTGTTTTGGTTTAAATTGGAGCCTATCTTAGAAAAATCTGTAAGTGCATGACAACTGCTGTCTTCAGCAGCCACTTGTTCACATAGTCAGTGTCTTCCTTCCCCTCTTCCCACTTCCATTCCCATTCCTAGCTATGCTGGCAATAGCAGCTTCATTATATGCCTGCATCCTTCCTATTTCGCTACTCAGGGGTCTCATGATGTTGTCTTAACTCTCTTATTCCTAGGCGGCACTCCAATAAAAATAATACAAACAGTTAACATTTATTGGGCACTTACTATATGCCAGGTACTTCACATGATTATTTACTTAGTCCGGTAAGCAGCTCTATATGAATGAGTTACTATTTTCATCTACCTCTAACAGATGAAGAAGCCAAGGTTCTAAATAGTAAGCAAAGATCTCACAGCCACACAACTAACAAAAGAGCCATGATTTGAACCCAGGTGTTCTATGAGTCAGAAGTCTTAATCACTATGGATATGGTTCTGTGTGGCAAGGCAGTTTTCTCCAAGGCTTCCCCCTTTCTCCCTAGTTTTTCTATTCAAAATCAATCCTTACTTGTGTACTCTGTTCTATCCCTAGCTAATTTTTGCCTACTGTCACGATGGGAACCAACCTCATAAACACATCCACAGTAAAGTCCCAACGGCAGGTGACCATATGAAGAATGAATTGTGGGAGAGGGCAAGACTGGAGAAGGGAAAAAAAGAGGTTGATTCAGGCAAGAGATGATGCTGGCCTAAGCTGGCATGGTAGTGGGAACAGAGGTCTGTGTAGGTCTGAGAAGTACTCGGGAGGTAGGATCACCAAGGATTACTGCCTGATGCAACATGAGTATGAGAGAAAATGGTGGGGGACAGGAGTTACAAGAATGATGCCTCAGTTTATGGCTTGTAAAACTGGGTGAATAGTGCTGGCCATATACTGAAATAGAAGATAGGGAAGAAAAAACAGGTTTTAGCAGGGAGCTCAAGAGTTCAGCTTAGGAATGGAGGCCGTGGTGAGTGCTGGATCTTCATGTACAACAGGATATTGGATGAGTACCTATGAAAGTCAGGAGAGAGATCTGGGGGCATTAACATAAATTAGGGCATATTAAGCATAATAATGTAAGCTTAGGAATGAATGGTGTTGGCTCAGATCCCATAAATGTAACTCTGGCCCTAATTTTAGACATTTCTTCCACTAAGAGGGTCAACAGACTCCACTGCCAATATGCTTTCTCTACCTGATCAGGGTATCATTCATCTTCCTCTAAGGAGGCAATTACTTTAGGAATATAATTTCTAACAGTACACACAGGTTTAAAGATACAATTTTTAAAAACTTTTTCAATCGCTACATGTACAATCAGCAAACCTGTGCCACCCTTTTCTAGTCAGGGTTTACTACAAGTTATTGTTGTTCATATGTTGCCATCTGAACATATCCTTTGTTTACAATACACCTGCACTCTTTTTTCCCCTAAATTATATATTTTTTAAAGATAAGGATTTATAACTTCCCTTTTTAAATAATATCTGCTAAGAGTCCCAGTAACAACTAGGCATAACTTTTTAAAATTAAAGGGCATTTTTGAATAAGGGAAGAGACTGGAAAAGGTTTAAATTGGCAAACACTCAGAAATGCTCAAGTATTAGATACTGAGGTGTATGTCAGTGTGTGTGCAGGTGTGTGTGGGGGGCAGGGCGGTGATGGTATGTCTGGGGAAATCCATCTAGGGTCTACCTATTTCACAAAGAACTAGTCCCATCCTTCTGAACACTCTGTAACTAGGAACACAGCATTACAATTTATCACCTTACTGATGACCCTTCAAATGTAATAAAGGATCCAGTAAATCAGAATAATTGATAATTCAAGGTCATTTGAAGTTCAGCCTCACATTATAGAATAATGTGAAAAAAACATATTCAGGTAAACATTTACCTTCAAACATAACATATTTCCTCTCTTTGGAAGTAGCCATTTATAAGCAATAGCAGAAATACAATGTAACCAGAAGCCAGAATTTCAGGCTAATGTTGTAGTGTAATTAAAAATAATTCCCACATTTATTAAAACTGACCTAATTGCTCACACTGTAAAACATAGATCAGGGGACAATATGCACTAAAAATAATTTATGTTCCAGAACTTTCACTAATTCAGATTGACATATCTTCCAGGTAACTCATACTAGTGAAGTTTTCCTTTAAGTTAACTACGCAAATTAAATAGCGTTGTATAATTATATTTCTCAATTGATACTGAAAGAGAAAAATAGGTAACAGTTTACCCAAAGTTATATTTTACCCCTTGTAATATAAATGTAGCTACAAATGTCTAAGTAGGCTTTTCTATTATGAATGAAGCAATAGATCCTATTATGTATCAAGTACCTTAAAAAATGATGACTATAGATATCAGTTATCCCCATAGCTCAGAATGCTTCTTTTCTGCAGGTAAAATTAACTCTTAGCAATAAACTCATCATGACAAAAGTTTTTCAAAAAGTGGTTCAATTAATGGGTCAAGAGAAGAACTCTTTCTATCCCAACTTTGTATCTTAATATTCAGCACAAGAAAAACCTACCTTCCCATTAGCTACAATTCAGAATGTTTAAAATTGCCCAATCAGAAGTGATCTAGATAGAGGTTGCTTATAAACAAAGTCATCCCTTTCTTAACTCAGAAAACACTCTTGCAGCCCTGACCACATCAGACCTTTCACAACGACAGAGAAGTGACTTAAACCAGTTCTATAATTTGTAGGGCTACATATAGTTGCCTTGAAATATTTAAAAATTCTTAGCAAATTACTCATAAACCAAGACTTGTTCATTCTTTTTCTATAAAGGACAACAAAATAATGGAAAACTTAAATTTTAGAAATCTAACCATTTCTTTAGTGGATTATTTCTCACCTTATTGTTTCAATTTGGACACCAGTGTTTTCAAATACAAGAATCTGAGAATATAAACCAGGTAAAGGTGTGGCCACTGCTAGTCCTTTCTCTCCCATTTATTAAAATGGTATAAAACCAGCTATTCTTAATGAGATGGGTATATACATAGGTATATAATTTCTAAATATCAGATTCTTTGCATTTTGTTTTTTCCCTACAATAGACTCCCAACTATCCCTTGGATTAGTTTTCTGAACAACTTATATAACTTTATACATCTTTGTACTATACTTTGTCCTCTTCAAGTATATTTCTTGAGCTAATTATAATGTTTAGTTATTTAATATCGAGTAATTCCCTTTAGAGAAGAGTTTACCTTATACAAAGCATGTTCAAACTCTATCACCATTTCCTAGTGCCATTTCTTTCATTCAAACTACATTTTTTTTTCCTTCATTACATTTAATGTAGAATTTTAAAGCAAGGCTTCTGAACCTGAGATTCATAGAGTCCATGGAATGGATCCTCTAGTCCTTGGGCCTCCTGAAATACATGCAGAATTTTGTATGTATGTATGAATACGCAAAGATGGTACCATAGTATTAAGATGTCCATGGCTTTCATGAGATTTTTTAATCTATGTCCTCAAATTTAGTATCAAATGTATGACGGTACTAAAACACTGATTATAATCTTTATACTGGCACCTTTGCTAAAGCTGAGCAGTCACAGGAGAGCCAAGTAGTAGTGGTGCCCATGCTGCCTGCTCAGAAATGAGTGGATTGTCCAGAGCTTTCCTCGGGAAACTGCTATTGTTCTATGTACACCTTGAGGATCTGAGCTGAGTTAGACCTGACCTTGCCTGCCAGGGCTTTGTGTGACTTGGAAAAAGGCCGCAAGGTTCTTTCTCTGGATAGACTCGGCTCCACGGATACAAGGATTGGCTACTGGAACATAGACTAAGTTTCCATTTCCAAAAGCCCCCTCAGTTGAGCACCTTTGTGAAGCACTCAAAGTGCACAACTGGTCTTGGTCTCAGGCAATTTAAAGAATGAATCAAAACTTCAGTTAATAGCAGTTTTCATATCCCACCACTCTTAAGGAAAATGGGAGATCATTGAAATTTATATGGCTTCACTGATTTATTTCTAAATTAGTCTCATTTGAGAGTCAACTTGAGTATACTAAGTTATGTGAAATATGAAAAGTCTAGTTTGATACACTAGTTATACTTTCCTGCCTTTTTCTTTTTAAGAATTGCTTTTGTTCAGACTGTAGAGACCGGAACTTTGGTAGCATTCTTAGATGAGCTTAAAACAGCAATTACAAATAGAGTCTTGAAATTAGTTAGAACTTTGCTAGAATCCATGTTTTCCCACTTTACCAGCTGTGTGACTTCTTTGGGCCTCAGTTTCCTAAAACTGTCATTTTGAGTATTGAAATACATCACTAGGCAAAGTGTCTAGGACAGTACTAGTCTAGCAATAAGTAGGTAATCAATATATGGTATTCACCATTGTCATCATCATTGTTGTCATCATCATCTTTGAATCAGTTAAATGCCTACCATTTATAATTTGACTCTCTACAATCCTATACTAAATCTGAAAAAAATTCTATAAAATACTAAAATTAAAATTTGTATTGGAGGCACACATATGATAACCTAAGTTATGATAGGGCAAAACTACAGTGCTGTGGGAAAAAGATAATGCCAACTCAGCAACTGGAGCTGGATTATTTAGATATCCATAGAGCCCTCAACCTCATGCCATACACAAAATTAATTCTAGATGGAATGCATATCTAAAGGGTTCTAAAAGAAAATATGTGTAAACATCTTCATGATGCTACAGTAGACAATAACTTCTTAAATAGGACACAAATTTCTAAATAGGAAAATATATATAAATTGCACTATATTAAAGTTAAGAGTTTTTTTTCCTCTACAGATACAATTAAATGAGTGAAATGGAAAAATATGAGGAAAGGGAGATTATATTTGTATCTCAAAAGTATAAAAAGATCTGTATCTAAAATATTTGCAGAACTGTAAGTCAAGAAAGCAGATAATAACTCAGTAGAAAAAAATTAGTAAAAAAACACACGAAAAGGTGCTTCACAAAACTAACACTAAGTGGCTCATAAACATTTGAAAATGTTTTCAACCTCACTGGTCATTAGGATATTACAAATTAAAAGCATATTGCAATACACATCCACCAGAATGGCTAAAAATGAACGACAGAAAACAGATCTTGGCAAAGATAAAGAGTTACTGGAATTCTCATATATTGCTGATTGGTACAACCACTTTGGAAAATTGGCATTATCTACAAAAGATAATCATATGCATATCCTAGGACTGAGCAAACTACACATCTACATATATAACCAGCAGAAATGAGTACATGTTACCAAAGAGACATGTACAACAATGTTCATATCTACACTATTGGGAATGCCCAAATGTTCATCAATAATAAAACAGATTAGCTGTGGTATATTCTCAAAATGAAACACTATGCAGTGATGAGACTGAACAAACAACAATGATATACACATAGCTAAATCTTACAATGTCGAGCAAAACAAAAGTCAAACATAAATGATTACATATGATATGATTCTATTATAGGAAGTTCAAGAGTAGATAAAACTAATCTATCTGTGTTCAGAGACAGAATTACACTTTTTTTTTTACCAATTTTTTTGCAGAGATGATGTCTTACCACGTTGCACAGGCTGGTCTCAAATTCCTGGGCTCAGGCGATCCTCCTGCATTGGCCTCTCAAAGTGCTGGGATTACAGGCATGAACCACTACACCTGGTCCAGAATTACTCTTAGAATGGGGGGAAAAAATTGCACAAAGAGTGGCAACAAGAATGTCTTCCATGGTACTGGTGCTGTTTTATTCCTTGATTAAGGTGCTGGCTATAGGCAGGCATTACATTTTTATTTCAAACTGTCAGAAAAGTAGTTAACATAAGTAGTGGGACATTAAACAATTGACAGCAGAGTTTCAGATGACTAAAGTGACATTTAAAATATTACCAAGTAGTGAATCAAACATTAAGATAACAAGTAGAGGAGCCAAATGTAGAGAAGCCGCTGAGGAGATTTCCATAGTCATGAATGACCGTCATAGAAGGTTACTGGAACATTCTGCAGCCATACATACTTGCAGGAACGGAAAGAATTCTTCATCTCAGAAACTGCTTATTTTAACATTGCCAGACTACGGATATAAGCTCATGATAACTAGAAGCAAAATAATTTAATCATAGAAACACACATTGCCTATTTAGTTCAATTTTATTACTCCCCATACAAGGAAATTGAGGCACAGAGAGACTAAGTGACTTGTACAAGGTCACAGATTTGACTGACAAACCCTGAGTTAACAGTCCAATACTAAACCTGTTCCCAATTCTCTCTAAACACATTGCCTCTCTTTAGTGTCCAAAAAATAGCTTCGTTTTTGAAACTAAATTGGCTTAGATAAACTATGATTTGCATATTACATCAATCAAGTCTTTGAACATTTAACAAAAAAGGGAAGTAAAGTGGAAGCATGAAATACACCTAAGAACTAAGAATTGGCCATGAAGTACTTTCTAGTACTTTCTAGCTGAGCTATTCAACTTTTTACACAGTTCAATTAGCAATGGCAGAAAGGGGGCAGATTTTGAGAGAAGAACTGGTTGAGAAGTTTTTAAAAAGATAACACCAGTATTTCCAGGGGAAATCTTTCCCTACAAATAAAACATATTGGCATAGAAATGTATGAAATCTTCCTAAACCTAACGATATTAGATTAGAAAGGGGAGGGTGAAAGTTTCCCTACTGCCAGACTCAGAACAAACCCCTGTTGTCCATGTATCCATGCACACTAGATTAACAAAATTAAGCTGGGATCACCTTCACACAAAAAACAGAGAATGACCGGCCAGGCGCGGTGGCTCACGCTGGTAATCCCAGCACTTTGGGAGGCCAAGGCGGGCGAATCGGGCGAATCACGAGGTCAGGAGATCGAGACCATCCTGGCAAACACGGTGAAACCCCGTCTCTACTAAAAAAAAATACAAAAAATTAGCCGGGCATGGTGGTGGGCGCCTGTAGTCCCAGCTACTCCAGAGGCTGAGGCAGGAGAATGGCGTGAACCCGGGAGGCGGAGCTTGCAGTGAGTCCAGATCGCGCCACTGCACTCCAGCCTGGGCGACAGAGCGAGACTCCCTCTCAAAAAAAAAAAAAAAATAAAAAAATAAAAGCAGAGAATGCCCACGCCTTTGTGTAAGGCTTTATTTGCTTTAGGACTTGATACCATACTAACATCCAGACTTTCTGTTGTTTTTCATCTGGACAAAATACCTTTTCACCAAGAATACCATGAAGTACAGGATTTATTGCCATAATGAAGTTCTTTCAGATCTCTGTTTTCTCTGCAGAGGACAGGAGAAAAGGCGTTCATCGCACCAGGCAGCTTATTAGGATTAGCACTGAATAAGACACCACAGAATGTCAGGCCTATCAGTTACTAAACATGCATCATACAAACTTTGTCTTTGCGAGAACCTCTGCTCTGCATTTGTCATCCACCTGAATAATTAACAAGTACATGCTGCCTGCCAGCAGCTTAGGGAATTAATTTCCCCAGATTAAATGTAGATCACGTCCACAAAAACTCAGACCACACACACTCATTGCACTCCTACCTTTCAACCACAAAAGGTAAAGAACACACCGCACAGCCTCCAATTTTATAATGATTTAAAACTCGAGGACTGTAAAGTCAGACTAGCAATATTTTTAAATGTCACTTTGATGGTCATCTGGAACTCTGCTGTCACTTGTTCAATGTCCCAACGTATACGTTAACTGCTTTTTGCCAACTTGAAATAAAAATGGTAATTCTACAATTCTGCAGTCACTATTTTTAAAATCTGAATAATTCTAAGTTTGCAGAACCATATCCATTAAATCTTTCAGAAAAACACCTGTTACATAGTGAAAACAAGATACACATGTGGTAACATGGAAGCACCAAGATTTAAAGCAAAAATCAGTTTTGGAGGTGTTCAAAATTATAATAATAGTTGCAATAAATTTGTACATTCCTAATTTCATTAGAAGCTAACAATTATGTCTGTTATTACTTCATCAGCCTGGCGCGGTGGCTCACATCTGTAATCCCAGCAATTTGGGAGGCCAAGGCAGGTGGAGCACTTCAGGTCAGAGGTTTGAGATCAGCCTGGCCAAAAAGGTGAAGCCTCATCTCTACGAAAAATACAAAAATTAGCTGGGCATGATGGCAGGCACCTATAATCCCAGCTACTCGAGAGGCTGAGGCAGGAGAATACCTTGAACCCAAGAGGTGGAGGTTGCAGTGAGCTGAGATCACACCACTGCACTCTGGCCTGGGCAACAGAGTGAGACTCCATCTCAAAAAAAAAAAAAAATCCTTTATCATACAGTTGAGTAAGATAAAACATGCAGCCACAAATGCAGAGGGAAGATCAAAGATTTTAAATTAAAATTATTCGATATTAAAATATTGGTTTACCATAAATAAAACAGAAGATATTTTTAAAGATAATAAATTGAATAACTAAAAGCCCAAATGCATCTTTAAATTCCCATTTTCTAATCATTATTTATTGTCCATATAGTGGGTTATATGAAAACAGAGAATATTTAACCTTAGTTGTAAATTATCTGAATAGATGAAAATAAATAGATGGTTTTCCCCCCAAAAGTGTGTTTCTAAAGGAGGATGACTAGCTTTGTAAGGTGGTGGGCAATTTTTTTTTTTTATACTTTAAGTTCTAGGGTACATGTACACAATGTGCAGGTGTGTTACATATATATACATGTGCCATGTTGGTGTGCTGCACCCATTAAACTGTCATTTACATTAGGTATATCTCCTAATGCTATCCCTCCCCCTTCCCCCACCCCACAACAGGCCCCGGTGTGTGATGTTCCCCTTCCCATGTCCAAGTGTTCCCATTGTTCATTTCCCACCTGTGAGTGAGAACATACGGTATTTGGTTTGTTCTCCTTGTGATACTTTGCTCAGAATGATGGTTTCTAGCTTCATCCTTGTCCCTACAAAGGACAAAAACTCATCCTTTTTTGTAGCTGCATAGTATTCCATGGTGTATATGTGCTACATTTTCTTAATCCAGTCTATCACTGATGGACATTTGGGTCGATTCCAAGTCTTTGCTATTGTGAATAGTGCCCCAATAAACATACGTGTGCATGTGTCTTCATAGCAGCATGATTTATAATCCTTTGGGTATATACCCAGTAATGGCATGGCTGGGTCAAATGGTATTTCTAGTTCTAGATCCCTGAGGAATCGCCGCACTGTCTTCCACAATGGTTGAACTAGTTTACATTCCCACCAACAATGTAAAAGTGTTCCCGTTTCTCCACATCGTCTCCAGCACCTGTTGTTCCCTGACTTTTTAATGATCACCATTCTAACTGGTGTGAGATGGTATCTCATTGTGGTTTTGATTTGCATTTCTCTGATGGCCAGTGATGATGAGCATTTTTCATGTGTCTGTTGGCTGCATAAATGTCTTCTTTTGAGAAGTGACTGTTCATAACCTTTGCCCACTTTTTGATAGGGTTGTTTGTTTTTTTCTTGTAAATTTGTTTGAGTTCTTTGTAGATTCTGGATATTAGCCCTTTGTCAGATGAGTAGATTGCAAAAATTTTCTCCCATTCTGTAGGTTGCCTGTTCACGCTAATGATAGTTTCTTTTGCTGTGCAGAAGCTCTTTAGTTTAATTAGATCCCATTTGTCAATTTTGGCTTTTGCTGCCATTGCTTTTGGTGTTTTAGACATGAAGTCCTTGCCCATGCCTATGTCCTGAATGGTATTACCTAGGTTTTCTTCTAGGGTTTCTACGGTTTTAGGTCTAACATTTAAGTCTTTGATCCATCTTGAATTAATTTTTGTATAAGGTGTAAGGAAGGGATCCAGTTTCAGCTTTACATATATGACTAGTCAGTTTTCCCAGCACCATTTATTAAATAGGGAATCTTTTCCCCATTTGTTGTTTTTGTCAGGTTTGTCAAAGATCAGATGGTTGTAGATGTGTGTTGTTATTTCTGAGGGCTCTGTTCTGTTCCATTGGTCTAGATCTCTGTTTTGGTACCAGTACCATGCTGTTTTGGTTACTGCAGCCTTGTAGCATAGTTTGAAGTCAGGTAGTGTGATGCCTCCAGCTTTGTCCTTTTGGCTTAGGATTGACTTGGCAATGCGGGCTCTTTTTAGGTTCCATATGAACTTTAAAGTAGTTTTTTCCAATTCTGTGAAGAAAGTTATTGGTAGCTTGATGGGGATGGCATTGAATCTATAAATTACCTTGGACAGTATGGCCATTTTCACAATATTGATTCTTCCTATCCACGACCATGGAATGTTCTTCCATTTGTTTGTGTCCTCTTTTATTTCACTGAGCAGTGGTTTGTAGTTCTCCTTGAAGAGGTCCTCCACATCCCTTGTAAGTTGGATTCCTAGGTATTTTATTCTTCTCAAAGCAATTGTGAATGGGAGTCACTCATGATTTGCCTCTCTGTTTGTCTGTTATTAGTGTATAAGAATGCTCGTGATTTTTGCACATTGATTTTGTATCCTGAGACTGCTGAAGTTGCTTAACAGCTTAAGGAGATTTTGGGCTGAGACGATGGGGTTTTCCAAATATACAGTCATGTCATCTGCAAACAGGGACAATTTGACTTCCTCTTTTCCTAATTGAATACCCTTTATTTCTTTCTCCTGCCTGATTGCCCTGGCCAGAACTTCCAACACTATGTTGAATAGGAGTGGTGAGAGAGGGCATCCCTGTCTTGTGCCAGCTTTCAAAGGGAATGCTTCCAGTTGTTGCCCATTCAGTATGATATTGCTGTGGGTTTGTTATAAATAGCTCTTATTATTTTGAGATACATCCCATCAATACCTAATTTATTAAGAGTTTTTAGCATGAAGGGCTGCTGAATTTTGTCAAAGGCCTTTTCTGCATCTATTGAGATAATCATGTGGTTTTTGTCATTGGTTCTGTTTATATGCTGGATTACATTTATTGATTTGCGTATGTTGAACCAGCCTTGAATCCCACGGATGAAGCCCACTTGATCACGGTGGATAAGCTTTTTGATGTGCTGCTGGATTCGGTTTGCCAGTATTTTACTGAGGATTTTTGCATCGACGTTCATCAGGGATATTGGTCTAAAATTCTCTTTTTTTGTTGTGTCTCCACCAGGCTTTGGTATCAGGATGATGCTGGCCTCATTCCCTCTTTTTCTATTGATTGGAATAGCTTCAGAAGGAATGGTACCAGCTCCTCCTTATACCTCTGGTAGAATTCGGCTGTGAATCTGTCTGGTCCTGGACATTTTTTGGTTGGTAGGCTACTAATTATTGCCTCAATTTTAGAGCCTGTTATTGGTTTCTTCAGGGATTCAACTTCTTCCTGGTTTAGTCTTGGGAGGGTGTATGTGTCAAGGAATTTATCCATTTCTTCTAAGTTTTCTAGTTTATTTGTGTAGAGGTGTTTATAGTATTCTCTCATGGTAGTTTGTATTTCTGTGGGATCGGTGGTGATATCCCCTTTATCATTTTTTATTGCATCTATTTGATTCTTCTCTGTTTTCTTCTTTCTTAGCCTTGCTGGCAGTCTATCAATTTTGTTGATCTTTTCAAAAAACCAGCTCCTGGATTCATTGATTTTTTGAATAGTTTTTTGTGTCTCTATCTCCTTCAGTTCTGTTCTGATCTTAGTTATTTCTTGCCTTCTGCTAGCTTTTGAATGTGTTTGCTTTTGCTTCTCAAGTTCTTTTAATTGTGATGTTAGTGTGTCAATTTTAGATCTTTCCTGCTTTCTCTTGTGGGCATTTAGTGCTATAAATTTCCGTCGACACACAGCTTTAAATGTGTCCCAGAGATTCTGGTATGTTTGTTCTCATTGGTTTCAAAGAACATCTTTATTTCTGCCTTCATTTCGTTATGTACCCAGTAGTCATTCAGGAGCAGGTTGTTCAGTTTCCATGTAGTTGAGCGGTTTTGAGTGAGTTTCTTAATCCTGAGTTCTAGTTTGATGGCACAGTGGTCTGAGAGAGTTTGTTATAATTTCTGTTCTTTTACATTTGCTAAGGAGTGCTTTACTTCCAAATATGTGGTCAATTTTGGAATAAGTGTGATGTGGTGCTGAGAAGAATGTATATTCTGTTGATTTGGAGTGGAGAGTTCTGTAGATGTCTATTAGGTCTGCTTGGTGCAGAGCTGAGTTGAATTCCTGGATATCCTTGTTAACTTTCTGTCTCGTTGATCTGTCTAATGTTGACAGTGGGGTGTTGAAGTCTCCCATTATTATTGTGTGGGAGTCTAAGTCTCTTTGTAGGTCTCTAAGGACTTGATTTATGAATCTGGCTTCTCCTGTACTGGGTGCATATGTATTTAGGATAGTTAGCTCTTCTCATTGAATTGATCCCTTTACCATTATGTAATGGCCTTCTTTGTCTCTTTTGATCTTTGTTGGTTTAAAGTCTGTTTTATCAGAGACTAGGATTGCAACCCCTGCCTTCTTTTGTTTTCCATTTGCTTGGTAGATCTTCCTCCATCCTTTATTTTGAGCCTATGTGTGACTCTGCACATGAGATGGGTTTCCTGAATACAGCACACTGATGGGCCTTGACTTTTAATCCAATTTGCCAGACTGTGTCTTTTAACTGGAGCATTTAGTCCATTTACATTTAAGGTTAATATTGTTATGTGTGAACCTGATCCTGTCATTGTGATGTTAGCTGGTTATTTTGTCCATTAGTTGATGCAGTTTCTTCCTAGCATCGATGGTCTTTACATTTTGACATGTTTTTGCAGTGGTTAGTAGTGGTTGTTCCTTTCCATGTTTAGTGCTTCCTTTAGGAGCTCTTGTAGGGCAGACCTGGTGGTGACAAAATCTCTCAGCATTTGCCTGTCTGTAAAGGATTTTATTTCTCCTTCACTTATGAAGCTTAGTTTGGCTGGATATGAAATTTTAGGTTGAAAATTCTTTTCTTTAAGAATGTTGAATATTGGCCTCCACTCTCTTCTGGCTTGTAGAGTTTCTGCCGAGAGATCTGCTGTTAGTCTGATGGGCTTCCCTTTGTGGGTAACCCGACCTTTCTCTCTGGCTGCCCTTAACATTTTTTCCCTCATTTCAACTTTGGTGAATCTGACAATTATGTGTCTTGGAGTTGCTCTTCTCGAGGAGTATCTTTGTGGTGTTCTCTGTATTTCCTCAATTTGAATGTTGGCCTGCCTGCTAGGTTGGGGAAGTTCTCCTGGATAATATCCTGCAGAGTGTTTTCCAACTTGGTTCCACTCTCCCCGTCAGTTTCAGGTACACCAATCAGATGTAGATTTGGCCTTTTCACATAGTCCCATATTTCTTGGAGGCTTTGTTCATTTCTTTTTACTCTTTTTTCTCTAAACTTCTCTTCTCACTTCATTTCATTCATTTGATCTTCAATCACTGATATCCTTTCTTCCAGTTGATTGAATCAGCTACTGAGGCTTGTGCATTCATCACATAGTTCTTGTGCCATGGTGTTCAGCTCCATCAGGTCACTTAAGGACTTCTCCACACTGGTTATACTAGTTAGCCATTCATCTAATCTTTTCTCAAAGCTTTTAGCTTCTTTGCGATGGGTTCTAATTTCCTCCTTTAGCTTGGAGAAGTTTGATTGTCTGAAGCCTTCTTCTCTCAACTCGTCAAAGATATTCTCCGTCCAGGTTTGTTCCATTGCTGGCGAGCAGCTGCGTTCCTTTGGAGGGGGAGAGGCACTCTGATTTTTAGAATTTTCAGCTTTTCTGCTCTGTTTCTTCCTCATCTTGATGATGGTGACTTACAGATGGGGTTTTGGTGTGGATGTCCTTTCTGTTTGTTAGTTTTCCTTTTAACAGTTGGGACCCTCAGCTGCAAGTCTGTTGGAGTTTGCTGGAATTCCACTCCAGACCCTGTCTGCCTGGGTATCAGCAGCAGAGGCTGCAGAACAGCAAATATTGCTGAACAGCAAATGTTGCTGCCTGATGGTTCCTCTGGAAGCTTCGTCTCAGAGGGGTAACCGGCCATGTGAGGTGTCAGTGTGCCCCTACTGGGGGGTTCCTCCCAGTTAGGCTACTCGGGGGTCAGAGACCCACTTGAGGAGGCAGTCTGTCTATTCTCAGATCTAAAACTCGGTGCTAGGAGAACCACTACTCTCTTCAAAGCTGTCACACAGGGACATTTAAGTCTGCAGAGGTTTCTGCTGCCTTTTGTTTGGCTATGCCCTGCCCTCAGAGGTGGAGGCAGGCCTCCTTGAGCTGCGGTGGGCTCCACCCAGTTCGAGTTTCCTGGCCGCTTTGTTTACCTACTCAAGCCTCAGCAATGGCGGGCACCCCTAACCCCAGCCTCACTCCTGCCTTGCAGTTCGATCTCAGACTGCTGTGCCAGCAATAAGCGAGGCTCTGTGGGCGTGGGACCCTCCGAGCCAGGCACGGGATATAATCTCCTGGTGTGCTGTTTGCTAAGACCATTGGAAAAGCGCAGTATTATGGTGGGAGTGACCCGATTTTCCAGTTGCCATCTGTCACAGCTTCCCTTGGCTAGGAAAGGGAATTCCCTGACCCCTTGCACTTCCTGGGTGAGGTGATGCCTCTCCCTGCTTCAGCTCACGCTGAGTGGGCTGCACCCACTGTCCTGCACCCACTGTCTGACAAGCCCCAGTGAGATGAACCCAGTACCTCAGTTGGAAATGCAGAAATCCCCCATCTTCTGTGTCGCTCACACTAGGAACTGTAGACTGGAGCTCTTCCTATTCCGCGATCTTGGAACCGCACCGTGGTGGGCAATTGTTAAATGGTAATGTCTTCTCTGGTTCAAATCATTATTCATTGGTAGTTACAATCTAGACTCCCCCCTCACTTGTGGAGATGTTTGCTGTTGTTAAACACAGTAGTCTCCAGATGGGTGAGGTACTTACTGAAGTATGAAAACAATTATGAATATAAACACATTTCTTATTTTGGTTTGTGAGTACACTGAGGATGTATTAAAATATACTCTTACTCCAAGAAAACTGATCTATTTGATATACTAAGTTTTCATTAAAATGACACACTTTAAACACAATACCAGAATTTTCACTCTCTATTCAATGAGATGCCCTTTGCTTGAAGAGTATATTTATGTGTGCACAATGACTTAGTACTTGTATAAATAAAATTACATTTCTCCCCCAACCATGACTGGCATTAACAATATAATACTACTTTTTTGTAAGTCTGCCTTATGTAAAAACCATTTGTCATTTCTGAGACCTACTTTAAAACATTTAGCCAATACAAATGAATTTCCAGTTAATCACTTGATAAACATGAATCTATTTTTTATAGTTGTAGTGCAGTGAGGTGAGATACTTATTACTTTCTAGCATTAATGGTATCATTTGCACAGAAGTCCTTATTTTTTTGTTCCCTACTTGGTAATAATCACATCATCAGAAAACAAATATCCTGTATCAAATTAACACAGTAAGTTAAGTTTGGCTTAATTTCATTCTGACAAGTGTTAGGCTTGAAGTCTTTAATTTTAAATAAATGTTTTAATGGAAGAGAATTATACATAATAATATTGTACAATATTGTACAATATTGTATAATATATATTATACAATAATAATAATACTATATTATTATACAATATTATATTGTATACTATATATTATACAATATTATATTGTATACTATATTATTATACAATATTATATTGTATACTATATTATACAATATTATATTGTATAACATATTATACAATTATACAATATCTATGTTCTGCTGCCACATTTAATGTTTTTGCCACACTTGTTGAAATTTAAATGGAAAATTCTTGGCTTTGTCCCTAACATGGACCTAGATCTAACTTCAGTCTGACTTCTGAGAGACAACTAAAATTGAGGCCCTGGCCCCATCTCTTGGGCTCTATTTTCAGGTAATGCCAGAATCTTGTGCAATGCATGGAGAATTAGCAAATTAAAAGAAGTGACAAACCTCCTCTCCAACTTCTGTCTTACAATAACCCCAGATGAATGTCTCTACTCACTAGGCCATACTAATAGGAGAGGTTATGTGGTAGGATAGGAGAAGAGATGAGAAAGTTATATTTCATTTAAAAGGGTTGGAAGAAAATGACAAGAAATCTTACAAGGTCAAATATTAGAATTCATTTTAGGTCAGAATAAAGGGTATCTGGCACAAAATGGTAAAAGAACTCATAAATCCACATTTCAGATTTTACGTGATTGTGCTTGACAACATTTATTTGCTTTCATTATTTGTCTTACATTACTGTCCTGTTAAATTCTGCCGCTTCTTTCTGTACAACTGAAATTATAACTCAGTGAAACCCTAACTCAGTAACAAACATCCTAAGTATACTGTGACCCTTTTTTAAAAAACAAGGGGTCCCTCTGCAATACTAATATCATTAAGCAAATAATCTTATATAAATAAACTTTTAAAAGTTTTTAATTATTAGAAGAATATATGGAAAATAACCCTTAAATCAAAACAAGAATATACCAAACATTAAACCAAAACAAGAATATATGGAAAACAACCATTAAATCAAAACATAGCATATATGCATTTTATTATCCACGTAAGCAAAAATATTTTTTGTAATTGCTTTATCAAGATGTTCTTTAACTTACGCAGTCAACTAAATAAAGCTTCCAATGCCCATTAAGTGGAAGAAAAATACACATCATTTTTAACATATAATGACATGTCCAATCCTGTGTGAGTATCTACAGCCTTTCTGAGTGTCACAGAAGAGAAAGTATAATAACCTTGTACTGGGAGTGTGTGGAAAGCATGTTTGTAAAATATGCCAAGAGACAATATGCCTTCTACTCCTAGGAGACTGTTGGTAAATCTTTTTTATGAGTGCACTATGAGGTGAATAATTAACACTTCCAACTGAAAGTTGACTACCATCATAATATTTAGTCAATGAATTGTTACAGCTGAGTTTTAACTCATATGAAAGTAACTATAATACTTTCAATCGTAATAATACTTCAACATAAATCTAAAATAAAAGATAATGAATTCAGTTCAAAATGTCTTTTCACATATTAGTGTTGGTTGTATCTTACTATATTTAAAAAATGAAACAATATCAACATAAAATGTCTTTTCACAAGAAAAACGGCATGCTTAGTACTTTAATAGTTCAGTTTCTATGGCACAAATCTGCTAGAAAAAAAAAGTGTGTTGGGGGGGCTCAGCTTGCATTAAAGATCCAGAAACCTTTGGTTTAATCACACGACTAGCCCACTGGGGGCCACTGTGAATGAATCATTCTACGAGAAGAGAGAATAGATTTTTCCCATGTAAATTTCCCAAGCATTTCAGTGAGTTTTCTAAGAATGACCAATGAATCCTTCCCTTCTGAAGGAGATTATCATACTCAGTTGGGAGCAAAAGGGATTTGTAGCACAATTAGCTGATTGTGAATAAATAATTACGCCATTTTCTCCTCCTCAAACCCTCTTCCAGGACAGAACATTCCAGATATTTCATTTTAAACCAAACAGGTGAAGTGGACTACAAATAAGCCAGATAATAATATTAATGACTGACAGCACTCCTGTCTATACAGGATTTGTTTCTCTTTTAAATTATTTCTCAACTTCCTTCATCACTGGAAAGAACTGGAATATCAGAATTATCTTGGAATAGACAAATCTCACGCAACATGGTACCAAAGAAGCAGGTAAGGGAGAAGGAAGCCCAGAATAATGTCCATATTCATGTGCCTTGAACTTTTTATAATGCTAAGAAAGTTGTAGAGGTATCAATGTTAGAAAAATTATAAAACTTCTCCAGATGAGGTCAAACTTCAGTTTGGCTACTATGAAACACCCTGGTCAGTGCCATATACTTTTCATATCTTACGCCAAAACATCCCCATTAAAATAAATGTTTTGCTTTACTCACACTATACTGATGTGGATCTTCCCAAGGAATAAACACTGTGCTCTCCAGTGCCATCTGTTTACTAGATGCTATCCCATATGAGGGCAGACGGTTTCCAGAGGTACCTGATACTCCTTTTCATTTTCATCATCAATTTCACGGCCACAAGACCACATATTCCTTCTCTACACTCAAAATAACCTCAAGGGTCTCCCCTCTTTCCTGCCGACCTCCTCTCTTGTATATTCCAAGGATCACACAGGTCCCCAGGATTCCCTTGCCCAGAGGGATTCCATGGGACTCAAGATAGAGTGTCAAGGAAATTTTCATTATTTTTATAGGAGGAAGGGTTAGCCACCTTCCACCTATAACACTGTTTTGTGGGAAAATTATTTTAGGATGCCAAACCACTAACTTCCTAACTTTTAGAACATAACCCATTCCTGAACTGAGGTCTTCTTATACTACGTTTGATTACCTGTTAGGAAAAAATGGTGCCCTCATTCATATGCAAGCCTTCCTTTGCACTGACCTCAGGAAAGTTCCCATGGAACCAGGAAATTTTTATGACTAGTCCCACATTCTGTATTTAATGCAGACCCAAGCATATATAGTGGACAAAATGCTGAGATTATCTCATAGCTATGTACTTCATGAATTTGTGTAACTAAAAGTGATTAGGGACTAGCCTTAATTCAAACTTATAGTGGTGCCAACAGCATTAAAACTAGTTAAAGCCAATTCAATACAGGTGTTATAGTCTAATAAGTTTGGAAATAGACTATTTTTATTTTGGGTGATGTGATTACACCAAAGACCCCACTCTTTTTGATATACTTTTACTAAAGTTTCTAATGTCTGAGAAAATACAGTGCCATGGTGACGGAAACATCAAATTTCCAAATTTCTCATTTGGGATTACCCTGAGAAGAGGCTTTCATTCCTGCATTACTTAAAGGATGAGATGATCAAGGAAATGATAGTATTAACTCCAGTTCTTAGAACTTTCAGTGGTCTTCTAGGAAAAAGGAGAAGTGTGGATTTCTTGCTCAATTACTGTGGATAGAGAGGTAATATAGATAGTCATTAACATCCTTACCCAGAGCCTCTGGGGGTCCCAGTGGTACCTTCTCACACTGGGGATCCCACGGGGATTCTGTTATCAGAAATGCACTAGCTCTAGAGTAAAACTGGATACCCTTCAAATATTTGAGAGGCTCCTAAATTCTAGACATGGCAATTTTCTCCCAATGACAGAATGACTAATAGATTAAAAAGTCCTAAGATTTTAAAATAAAATAGAGCATAGAATTTGTTTGAACTGCCACCTGCACCTCCTCTTCCTGCACTGTTTCCCCTAGAAGTAACATAATTCTATCACCCCATCCTTCTGAAGCAACATTTTAAAATGGAAGTAAACTTATGGCAGGTTAAGCCTAGTGAGGAGGTATACATGATTAGGAACTGGAGACTCTCATTATCCCACAGTTCAGGAATACAACCCTCTCCTTTTCTAAAGTGAGACTTTCTTAGTTGCCAATATAGCTACTACTCATAATAAGGTCCAGTTGGATCTTCAGTGATTTAGGCACATAACTATAATGGCCACATTTTATTATCTCTACCCTCATATGATTGCATAAGCTGTTTGTCTCTTTCTCTGCTATCATGGAGTGGAGGCAAAGGCAAAGTCCCTTCTTTTTTTTTTTTTTTTTTTTTTTTTTTTTTTTTTTTGAGACAGTCTCGCCATTACCCAGGCTGGAGTGTAATGGCATGATCACGGCTCACTGCAACCTCTGTCTCCCAGGTTGAAATGATTCTCCTACCTTAGCCTCCCAAGTAGTTGGGACTACAGGCACACGCCCCCACACCTGGCTAATGTTTTGTGTTTTTTTGTAGAGACAAGGTTTTGCCATGTTGGCCAGGCTGGTCTTGAACTTCTGAACTCAAGTGATGATCTGCCTATCTCAGCCTCCCAAGGTGCTGTGATTAAAGATGTGAGACATTGTGCCTGGCCCAAAGTCACTTTTGAATAATAACAGCTATAATTTAAAGAGTATTAAATGTCATATATTCTGCTAAATGTTTAAATACAACCGGGCATTAAAACCTCGCACCACTCTATAAGGCAGACTTTATTACTTGGATTTTACCAATGAGAAAATAAGTTGGGCTTTAAGGCCCCAAGTGGCAGAGCTGAGATTCTAAACTTGGGCCAGCCCTAAAATTGGTGTTTATAACCACTGCTTTATACTTCCTATCCTAAGAATTCATTTCTTAAGCAACTTCTTGTTTGAGGTATAGTGCTAAATTCCATATAATGCAATTTTGATAAATACAACTTATTCCAGTCTTCTAAACGTCACAACATAAAATTCACAAGAAGGGAGTGTCAAATCGACACGGTAAAACACAATGGTAGTGGCAGAATATACTTCAATGAAACAAGAGTAACAAAAAGGGTTTACATTTAAACTGGACAGAGTCAGCAAAATTCTTTTAAATCAAATTTGCAAAACGTCTTCAGAAAACCTGAATTTTCAAAAACAAAGTCTAAATGGCCTTCCAAAGTCACCTTAACTTTACCTTTTTTTAAGGTAACTCCAGCCGTGTGTGCCTTGCGGCTGCTAGGTCTCCCTTTCTTACAACTAGGCCTTATGTGTTTCTATGGCAAACAAACCAATATTGTCTTATAAATGTGATTGTTTCTAGGAGCACAAACGGGAGTCCAAGCATTTTAAAATTTTCAGTCAGGCATATGTTCCAATTCTCATTGGGTTCACCTTGATTCTCTTTGGGCCAGTCAACCAACACTATTCACTGAGAACCAACTGTGTTTATAACACAATTCTCCATTCCACGGATGCTTTAATAGTGCTTATTTCTCACTGGCATGACCAATCATCGAGGACAATTGATCTTTTAATAAATCTTTAAAGAGAAATCATTGCACGTTTGGCTGTCCAGGAGAAAAGTCCTATAAATCAGCCTAAGATAACAATGTTAGTTTGCCGTCCAGGGCATTCCACTTTGCTATCACCAAAATAACCCAAAATATACAAGTGTGCCCCAAGGATTGTCATACAAAGTGGTTCAATACAAATTGATTCATGGACACCCAGAGCTGTGAAGAAGTGGTTCCTTTTGGCTGAGACTAGACAGCAAATGCTGTCCAGTTCTGGGGAATAAAGAGGAGAGATAAGTTGCATCAGTTCACTGATCCTGGACAGCAGGAATCCTTGATCCAGTTTAAATTATGAATGCAAAAGAATTAAACCAGGTCTAAATGTTTGGACAGATCATCTTCAACATGCAGAAACTGTGCAAATGGTGGGGAGGCCTAATGATGATTCTTTCCCACTTGACGACATAGAAGAAGTCTCTATTTACACAAAATAACCTCTTTGCAGCATGTGGGAACCACTCCTACAGCAATGCAAGGTGGCAAGCTAAAATTAGAAGTGGAACAGCTCTTCCTGTTTGGCAGCTGATTGCTCACACACACTTTAGTACTTGAGAATAAGCTGGGGAAAAAAAAAAAAGTTGGTCTCTTTTCCTCTCTCTTAAACCAGATAGATATTTCAATTCTTATGTCTACACAGACTGCTCTAGATTTTTATTGTCAAGGTTCTGAAATGAGAGAAGTGATTTCTCATCTACCATTTGCAGAGTATGCTCCAAGGAACACTAGTCCTTGGTGCAATGATTTAAGGTAATAGAGCTCTAGTCTACGGCCATACCACCCTGAACACGCCCAATATCATCTGATAATAGAGCTCTATGGACAAACGTTATTATGGGGAAATACTATACAGCAAGGCTTCCCTCATCATTTCACATTGTACATCAGCTTATTAGTGATGTACATTGCTGGTAAAGAACTTGGCTAGTTTTATTTAACCAAGTGTTTACCAAATCACCTAACCTACTTCCCAAATAACACTTATTAACAAACGGCCTCTGGGAAACACTTCAGGAAATAGTATTTAGACAGCAAAAGCAAGTGAAAAAGAAAGAACAACATTCTCTTTGTTAAGCAGCTTTTAACTAAAAATCAGAGTAAAATGTAAACAGAAGTGCTGAAAGACTGCAAAACCTCTAGATGGGCTCCCTACTTGTGGTCTCTTCTTTCAGCTCTTACACGCTTTCCTGTGATGTCACTCACACTTCACGCAACAATGCTCTCTGGCATCTCCTGATCATGTTAGAATGTAACCAGGCGATGCCCAGGTTTTGCCTCAAACTTTCTGTTCATGCAGCTCTCTCATCTCAAATGTTTTATTTCAATGCCCCAAAACATCTGAGGTGAACTCAGGTTTCATTTTCTTCTAGAGACTTTCTCCAACTTTAACTGATTTCATGCTTCTCTGAACTTGGCTATTCTTATTAGTGGTAATGGTCACTGTGGCACTTAACTACACACTTACTTGCCTGTCTACTACTATTTATTTATCAACTATTTTACATATTTGGGTCTTACTTTATTCCCCTAAAAAAATCAGACTGGGGCCGGGCGCGGTGGCTCACGCCTGTAATCCCAGCACTTTGGGAGGCCGAGGTAGGCGGATCACGAGGTCAGGAGATTGAGACCATCCTGGCTAACACGATGAAACCCCGTCTCTACTAAAAATACAAAAATTAGCCAGGCGTGGTGGCGGGCGCCTGTAGTCCCAGCTACTCGGGAGGCTGAGGCAGGAGAATGGTGTGAACCCCGGAGGCAGAGATTGCAGTGAGCTGAGATCACTCCACTGCACTCCAGCCTGGGTGATAAGAGTGAGACTCCGTCCCAAAAAAATTAAAAAATAAAATAAAAATCAGATTGGACTATATGTCCATTCAAAAGTGCTGATATTGTACCTTGTCTCCTCAGCAACACTATATGTAACTTTCTTATGGGTGAGAAACATATTTTTAAATTTTTATAAACCTTTATTGCCCAACAGTACTATGCACACAGGAAAAATTCAGTGCCTGAACATTTGAAAGAAAAAGTACAATTCAACTGGGCGCGATAGCTCATGCCTGTAATCCCAGCACCTTGGGGAGGCTGAGGGGGGCAGATCACTGGAGGTCAGGAATTTGAGACCAGCCTGGCCAACATGGTGAAACCCCGTTTCTAATAAAAATACAAAAATTAGCTAGGCGTGGTGGTACACACCTGTAATCCCAGCTACTCAGGAGCCTGAGGCAGGAGAATCACTTGAACCTGGGAAGCAGAGGATGCAGTTAGCCGAGATGGCACCACTGCACTCCAGCCTGCATGACAGAGCGAAATTGTCAAAAAAAAAAAAAAAAAAAAAAAAGGCCTGGCTCATGCCTATAATCCCAGCACTTTGGGAGGCCGAGGCGGGTGAATTACTGGAGGTTAGGAGTTCAAGACCAGCCTGGCCAACATGGTGAAACCCCATCTCTACTAAAAATACAAAATTAGCTGGGCGTGCTGGCGTGCACCTGTGATCCCAGCTACTCGGGAGGCTGAGGCAGGAGAATCGCTTGAACTCGGGAGGCGGAGGTTGCAGTGAGCCGAGATCATGCCACTGCACTCCAGCCTGGGCGACAGAGCAAGACTCTGTCTCAAAAAAAAAAAGGAAAAAGAAAAAGTACAAATCAAGTGAACCTTGAAAATATATGTATACATGAGGTATCTGTATGGAAGACAGAGAGAGAGAAAGAGTTCTACATGGAGGAGGAAAGATGGTAATAAAAGGAAGGCATCTTCTGTATAAACAGCTATTTCTCCCTTCAATGAAAAATGGTACTGAAAATAACCCCAAAATGGACACAGAAGAAAGCCATCTGAAGCATCTCTGAGTATGATTTGTCTGAACATGCATGCACAATTATTAGCACAGGCAAATTGGGGTTTGAGACTCAGGGAAGTCAACTATTACCAGCAAAACAGCAGTTATGCATTTACTTTGGGGAATGTAATTCCAGATATGTCATATAATTCACTGAAAATATTAGTGATTCTCAATTATTTTCTGATATTAAATCTATTTAACTCTGTAAAATAAATTCTTATTCTAAAATAATTTCATTTTCTAAAACTTTACTGGTTTAAGCAACATAAGAAATGTGAAACTGCACACCTGTGTCAGCAAGAAACTCTCTACCCCTATTTCTATGTGAATTCTGCCAGGAAGGAAGCAATACTGAGAATAGTTTGCTCTCCAAGAATTTCTTCTACCCAATCTTAAATATGAATAGACTTAATATTACATCAATTGTGTTACTCTAAGGTTATTTCATTCTAAGAGAAAAATGCTCTACTTAAAAATCTAACTCTTCAATCTCTTTCTTAACTGATACCTGACTTTCTACTGTTTTTGGAAATCTGTGGTTCACATGTGGGTTTTTTTGTTTGTTTTTTTTTTTTTGGTTTTGTTTTTGTAAGACATTAATGTATACATTACCAAACAAATCTAATTGATTCATTGCTCTGACATTACCATAGATGGTGATGTAGGCACCTCTCCAGGGGAGGAATCTTCTCAATATTTTGGAAGCCAATTTAAATGCATTCTCCAAACCCAGAATAAAGAAGAGAATTGGAGCTTCTTCCATTTTATTTCTAAGCCCAGAATCAAACCAGAAATACTTGGGTATTACGAAGGAAAATGTGTTCAATTAACTCTATCATTGGGTCTGTGAAACAAATACCCATCTAATATATCCCTGATTGTCCGCAGTTCCGTCAGGCAAGTAATAGAACTATATGTATTTTCTTTTTCTTTTTTTTATTTTTATGTTTGTTTATTTATTTATTTTTTTTGGAAACAGTCTTGCTCTGTTGCCCAGGCTGGAGTGCAGTGGCGCGATCTCAGCTTACTGCAGCCTCCACTTCCCGGGTTCAGGCGATTCTCCTGCCTCAGCCTCTGGAGTAGCTGGGACTATAGGCATGCGCCACCACGCCCAACTAATTTTTCGTATTTTTAGTAGAGACGGGGTTTCACCATGTTGCCCAGGCTGGTCTCGAACTCCTGAGCTCAGGCAATCAGCTTCCCAAAATGCGAGGATTACAGGCGTGAGCCACTGCACCCGGTCATATATGTATTTTCAATGAGAATTCTGGCAGGGAAAATAAAAAATCTATTTCATATAAATTGAAGCCAAAAGGGGCAAAAAAAAAAAAAAACCCTTACTGCAATGTTTTGAGCAAAGCAACACTGACTCACTTTAAAACACTATTTAAGGTACTAGAAACTGTAATTAAATCAAGTCTTGAAAGTGCTAAGCAGAAGAAAAGTGTTAATTAGTAAATTAGTAAAAATACCATTTTTAGAGTGCAAAAGCTTTCTTTTACACTTTCAAACATTTACAAAAAACAAATTCTTGATACGGTGCAATTTGGAGTATTTATGGAAGCTTGATTTTATGCTTTGTTAAAAGAAATTCACAGAACCTTTCATCCAATGAGCTCACTGCTCTGTCAAATACATTCCTCCTCCAACAAAGTAGAATATAAAATAGAATATAAGGCATTACAGAGAAAATTTAAACACAGGAAACAGGAAAGAGCATTCCTGGAGAGAGCAAGCACTGGCAATACAGTCAGCTGACAGGAACTAATAATTTCCAAAAGGAAATCAAGGTATCCACATAGCTCACTCCCACATCTCCTTCACAACTATGCTCATTGTCACCCTTTCAGCAAGACCTCTTCTGACCACCCCATTTTGAATTGCAAACCTGACCCCACCTCTAGGTCTTCCTAGCCCACTTTCCTGTTTATTGTTATCTCTGTAGTACTTATCACCTTTTTAGGTATTCTATAATTGACCTATTTGTTTAGTGCCTGCTACCTCCACAGGACAGTAAACACCACAAGGGCCCATACCTTTGCCCGTTTCACCCACTGTTGTATCCCCACGATGCCTAGGATGTTGCCTGGTACCTGGTAGGTGCTCAACAAATCTTTATACAAATGAATAAGCCTCATCAAGCCTCACAAAGTCCTGGATATTTTTCTACTTGCCCTTTGTAATGGATATAGAAAAACTTTTTGTAGAATAAAAATATCACACACCAAAAATAGTTCTTGTAAAGTTATAGACATTAAAAAGAAATAAATATTCTGTCATATATATTCAGCTGAAAATACTTTTTTGTACTAACACATTGCTTTGGATTAATCAGATAAAGATGAAAGTCAAGCATTTTGCCAACAGTGTTTCTTGCTAACATTACTCAGTTATGCCTTTCAGCTCAATATACTGTATATGAAGGATATCTTGTTAAAACAACTGTTGGAGGCAAGTCATGTCATATCAGCTACACTCTATACCCTATGGGAACTCAAATGGCCCAAAGTCTATGTTAATATAATCTTGCTGCTCCGTTGAGCTAAGGCAAAAATCACAGTTTTTCAGTGACATGTAAGCTTTCATATAAGTACCACATTATCTATATGTCTTCCAGAAATGAAGGAAAGCTGTTCTAAGGATTATGCTGAATCAATTTAGGAAGGTAAATATCGTTAACAAATACCATAAAATAACCTAATAAATGATTGCAATCTCTATTTATCAACTAACAAGAAGTCTATACTCTTCTTTATGTAATTGGTAACATGGTATCTATGGGAAAATAAAATGCCCCTGCCCAAGGGCTCTAGGTGGCTTTTCAGCAAAAAGCTCTTTACTTCCTTACACAGAATTTCCCATGCAACACGCTAAGCAATTCCACGACCCTCCTGTCCTTTTTCTTTGGGGTGTGAGGTCTTGTTTTTCCTTATCAACCTTTGTTTATTATAAATTTGAGCATAAAAAATAAAGACCCGTGTTTTCAGGTTTTGTGAGAGGGCTGAGGGAAAGGTCAAGATAGAAATACAAGATGGGTTTTTTTCTTAATACTACTTCAAGCCTGGTGATAAATAATGATGGAAAATGCAAAAATACATATTATTTACAAAAATTGTATTATGATATCAGTGGGTAAGAATTTTAAAGGCCAATTCTAATTGTTATAAAAACAGACACATAGAATTGAGAATGATCTAAAAACAGTTTAATTTTTTAATATAATCCAATCTCCAATCCTACCAATGAACAAAATATGAAACCAAATCTTAAAATGTTAGAACTTAAACTACATATTCTTATGGACTCAGAAAATACAGTTTACTGAAGATTTCCTAAATTTTAACATTATTTATGAAAATTCATTATATGACTATCTCCCTAAACAAATATTTTAAAGAAGTTAAATTACAATTTTAAGTTCTCCCTCTTTTGCCAGCTCAATGGCCTAATACGAAGCATACAGGAGGCAGTTTTCTAAGCGTTTCTGTTGACTAATAGAAGCTGCTATAAAATGTGTTCTAGCAACTTGCAGATAACTGCCAGCCAGGCCAACAACACTGCTAATCTCAAGAGAATCAAGTACTAGTTATGCTTTGGTAATATCAGCTTTATCAGTTAATATAAGAGAGAAAACGCAGCATATGTAGGACTTACTTTATAAACAAACATCATGAAGAACTTTAATGGTACAATAGATGTGAAATGAAAAATAAAATATAAATTGCAAAAATAACTGAAACGTTTTTAAATGATGCAAGCTAAGATACTTAACACATTGCTAATAATAGAATCCGCTTACATTTCAGGATACTCATGCTCATATTATTTATAGTCACCTAACATGACGAAAAATATAGAGGGACCCTAAGAAAATCCTGTTAACCAAGATATTTTTAAGAAATCAAACATTATTTGTAACAATAAGTATAGTAAGTGTGAACCTCACTTGTAAGACCTTAAATTGTTTAAGTCAGAATTCCTACAAAAACTGGGTTGATGCTGAGATTCTGGTGTTACAATATTCAACATACTCTTATGATTTAAAAGATAAAAATCTACTTTCTATACAATGGAACACCTTTCAAGAAGAGCTTATATACTGAAGCAGAAAATATAGTATTTCAATTACAAGTTCTAAGGAAATGATGACTAAAATAGGATTTATTTTTCTTCCTCTGTATCATCTAATGGAGGTAGAAATCAGGTTAATAAGAGTGTGAATCTTGTAGTTCATAATGAACAGTTCAGAAAAATGTTATGAAACACCTCTTCTCAATATGGTAACTAGCAGAAAATGCATACTAATCACAGAAGTTGGTTCTGCTTTTAGCAAACACATTTACGTAGCTATTCCCATGTAGCGATGGGATCTGCCTTTAAGAAAGAAAGTGTTGGCCGAGCGCGTGGCTCACACCTGTAATCCCAGAACACTGGGAGGCGAAGGTGGGCAGATCACCTGAGATAGGGAGTTCCACATCAGCCTGGCCAACATGGTGAAATCCCATCTCTACTAAAAATACAAAAATTAGCTGGGCATGGTGGCATGCACCTGTAATCCCAGCTACTCAAGAGGCTGAGGCAGGAGAATCGCTTGAACCTGGGAGGCGGAGGTTGTAGTGAGCCGAGATCATGCCACTGCCCTCCAGCCTGGGTGACAGAGCAAGACTCCGTCTCAAAAAAAGAAAGAAAGAATGTGTTATCCCTGCACCATCACCCACAACATGCATGTGTCATGTCTGATTGGTACCTTAATGCACAGGCAGCATTCACTAACAAATACAAACTTTAAATTCATCTGTTTGATATCACTAGCTTATGTTATATATACCTATCCTATAACATTAACATGTATTTGTTTCCTATATAGTAGGATATGAATTAAATGTTGGCCATTTCTTATAATAATCCATCTGCAGAAACATTTCTGGCTGCCTATTCCAGCCCAACAATGTTCACTATCTCATAAGTTCTTCTTGGTGCTCTATCAATAAATATAATTTTAAAAAGTATTTCCTGATTGAATCCTGTTGAAGCATGTAGGTAATCACATAAACCACAGCCAGCATACTGGGACTAGAACAGTGGTCCTCAAACTTTCCAGTCAGCAAATCACTTTCACAAGTCAGGAGATGACATGATGCCTCTACCCCACCCCATGTTCACACAACAGCCCTTAAAAATAAAACACGAAACAATCTATGCCTGTGCAGATAAAAAATTTATATAGTCTCCTCACTTTATGATTATCACAAAAGCCTGTAAGCTGGCCTCTCTCTCTCATCCACTCCATGCAAACACAGAGGTTACAAAAATCCCACACATTCCATTATTCTTTGGCCCAAATACTTCAGTATATTGAAACTAAATAAAATGTCGAAATCAAATTCCTCTTTTCTTCTTCAAGACTCCGTATGCCTAAACCCTTTCTAGTCAATCCTGAATAGAAATTGTTTCCATCTTTTGTTTGTCATGTACAGACGTGGCTTGTTCATTACCTTGTTCATTCACGGGCCAGCTTTAAGTTCCAACTTTCCAAGAAGAGACCCTCAATTCTCGACAGCCACAAATAAGTTTGCTCTCTGGACTTGTACAGAACTGAAAAACTTAGGCACTTCTTAAGGCACTTCACCTGTCCCATCTTGTATAAAAAGCACTTGCCACCCTCTATCTCCTTGCCCTGATTTAATTTACTGTATACTATAGAGTTCTACCTTTTTAACTCCACATGTATCTGCATAATGTCTGCTCCCCTCAATTTAATATAAACTCTATGCTATAGGAACTGGAACTTAGTAGGCATTCACTAAATATTTATTAAATCAATAAATTATATGCCTCATTGCCCCACTGGCATGCAACTTCTTTGAGACTGAGGATGCCTACACTTTCCCAAAAGGAGACAATAAATATTTCCTTGATAAATGAGTGTTTGTTCCTGAACTAAACCAAATGACTTTCAAAATGACCACATCCTCCCTCAACATATTCCATTTTCCCCAAATAAAACACGACCAATTTGCCCAGTGATTAAAATGGAATATTAAAACCCAGCAGTGATGGCATCACCATCATTTAAATAATGCTTGCCTAACCCATTCTATTTTCTGTTAGGGTACAAACATAATAAAGTAAAAAAATTTTTTTTAAGTTGTGGCAATTATTAGGCAACTTTAAAAATTATATATATGTATATTTTTCTTATAAATGAAATACCAAAAATATGGGTCACAAGTCGACATGAAAGAACACTATGTACCAAGGTTACTGTCCCAGAGAAAGAGAGACTAGATGTTAAATTCATTACCTATAATTTCAAGGAAACCAAAGGCCTAAAAGTGCCAGCTCTGCTAGACACCAGGCTATGTGGGCAGGTTCCCACGCAGCCCTGCCAGTTCCACCCTGACCCACAGCATCCCCTGCTATTTCGCTTCTAAACAAAGATTTATGTCAAATTATGTTCTAGTTTTGTGGTGTAGCAAAATATCCATTCAGGGTTATGATGGGACCACCTAACACATGTTCATTTGGAATCTAATCCAGATTAGATCCTGGGTTCCCTAGGGAAAGAGGCAAGGACAGTAGCCCACGCTGTTCTTTAACTGGCAAAAGCTTTCAGTGTATTTCTATCGTAAAGAAAAATTCACCTTTGTTAAATTACATTTTCATGTTTATGTTTTTCGTGTTCATATTATAGGTTGATCTAAATTTCAAAATATAATACAGTGATTTCTAATACACTGCTCTGTGATAATACTAGAACAACTGAAGTTGTTTTCTAAATGAAATTTTAAATCACGTCCTTTTCCAAAGGAAGTGTGGTTCCCATAAATTAGTCTAGAATATTATTAAAAGAAAGAATATTGCTATTTGCCACCGTTATTTAAAAGCAAAGTTGACACTTTTAAAAACACAGAATCTGGCCAGGCGCAGTGGCTCACGCCTGTAATCCCAGCACTTTAGGAGACCGAGGCAGGCGGATCACCTGAGATCAGGAGTTTGAGACCAGACTGTCCAACTTGGTGAAACCCCATCTCTACTAAAAGTACAAAAATTAGCTGGGCGTGGTGGTGCACATCTGTAATCTCAGCTACTGGGGAGGCTGAGTCAAGAGAATTGCTTGAACCTGGGAGGCGGAGATTGCAGTGAGCTGAGGTTGCACCAATGCCCTCTAGCCTGGGTGACGGAGCAAGACTCCATCTCAAAAAAAGAAAGAAAAGAAAAAAAACACAGAATCTCTTCTTCAGAAATTTGATGGAAACATGTCATTTACAGCTCTAACTAGCATGACTACTTTGTATTTTTTCATTTGAATAATTTTCCAGAATAAAATTATTATTCTTTATTGTGGGGCTGTTACCACTTTGACTAGGTTGTATAAATTTAACACTTAAGTGATACATAAAATTAAGACCTTATCCAGCACACTGGATATAGATTTTGTCACTTTTGTGGTTCGTATATGCTAAACAGTAAATGTTGCAATTATATATTTAAAGTGCCATAAAATGCTTACCTTTTTACCCACTGCTCTAGAATATGGGTAGGAAGGATGTAGATTAGCTTTGTTTTAATAATCTTAATGATTAGTTGTTTTGATGATCTTAATTATTGAACATAATTATCTGAATATTATTTCTATAGCTCGGTATGATTAAAAGTCTCAATTAAAAGATTTACTTAAAATCTTTGGCTTATGAAAACGTTTTGGAATTGCCTACTTGACTACTGAATTAAGTTTCTCCTAGAAATGCATAAGCAGCGTAATCATGTTTTATCTGTGCCTTTTTATGACCATGTAAGTGTTATTTAGAAATATTTGAGAACAGAAAGCTGTTCTTTTCCATGCAACCTCATTTATGCCTTTTAACAAGTTCCATGCATATTATTTGATGGTTGCTCAAAAATATTAATCATGATGATAATAGTATTGTTCCTAATGATGATAAACCATTAACTTATCATGAGGTTCAATGAATCACTTGACAAATCAGGTATGGACCAACCTCCTGGGTAAATGTGTCATGGGGGTAAGTTGTACCCATAGGTAGCGTAGAACAAACCTAGGAAAACTGATAGAGGCTAAAATTACTTATTTTCAGTACATACTAATAAGAGCAAAAATTTATCCTCAACCTGCCACACATCTCTAAGTTCCTTATTAGAAAAAGGTTTCTGAACCTGGATAAAAAGGTAAAAGCACCCAGTGTTAAACCCTTCAAAAAGCAATTATAAACACGCTTTAACATATTTATACCTATGTCGCACAAAGTCCCTCAAGCATTCTTTGTGCCTTACCATCTTAAATATTTTGCATGAATATTGTGCTAAACAGTCAGCATTTTGTTCACTGGATAGTTGTAACTAGTCCAGCAGTACATGAATACAGGCCCATGTGTAGAACAAAGAATGCAATCTCAGCTTTCAAACCAGCAGCTTGGTGCTCTGACCCCTACGCCATGTGCTATGATCATGAGTGATGGTGCTGTTCTGACTGTACGCTACTTTCAAACAATGATCCACAAAGTTAATCAAAAGGGCTTCCCTGTTCAATATTTACCTGTTACTCATTGACAGCCACTGTCTGCACTGCCATCTAGGACGTATAGGATGGGATCAGTAATACTGAGCTCAGACAGAACCTGAGTGCCTCACAGAAGTACCAGGCACAATGAAAGCAGAATTAAGCTGCTCTTCAAACTACCTCTGACACTAAAGATGTCCGCATGAGTTCCACAGTAGCAATGCACTGCTCTTTCCTGGATTTGGAGGCCATATAGTTGCTGATAATAAGAGGGATGAAAAAAACAACAACTACATGAAAGAAAAAAAAAGAAAGGAGATATTAGGTAGCAAAATATAAACATGGAGGAGAATTTTATAAATATAATATAAACAAGGAGGAGTAATTTCCTGTATTTGGTCAAAAAAATAATATTCCCTCCTTGATGTGATCTCCTTGCTTTTATGTACTAGGAGTCATATCTATCCTGAAAATTATTTTTCTCATTTTAATACACATTCAACATTTTAAGCTAAAAAATAATAAGAAAACATTGATCTTTTTTATGTGTTAGAGATTTAAATGCTGTTTGCCAGTCTGTCAATCAAAATGTGCCCAGAAGGGTTACTGACCAGCTTCCATGTCCACCTTCAAAAAGAGGCACGTAATCAGACTAATCACAATGCAATTCTCTGTCATTTTTAAACTATCAACTAGAGAACAAGGCTTACTATGAGACCTTATTATTCACATTCATTAACCAGGTAACTTGACAGGTTTTGAACATGGGTAGTTACAGGGGTGAAAAGTCACTCTAAATGTTAAATCCTCTTTTAGCTATTTTTTCCACAGCACTAACTTTTTTGAGTTAGTAGTTGAGTACTTAGTATGCACTTCCAGGGGAAGCATTTTTCTAAGCATTTTACATGTATTAGTTCATTTAATCCCTATGGAAAATCCTAAGAGAAAATCCTATGAGATACTATCATCAGCATTTCGCAAATGAGAAAGGTGGGAAACAGGCAGCTTAAGTAACTTGTTCAAGATCACCCAGCAAATAAGTAATGGAACTAGGGTTTGAATACATCCGTCTCCATCATAGCCTGCACACTTACCCACCACACTGACATTCTCCTATTGCATTCCGCACTGCTCAAATGCAAGGCAATCATTGGCCTTTAACGAGTACCTTTTTAAAAGTTTGTGGACTGAATAAATGAATAAATATCTCTAAGGAACTTGCAATGTTATTGAGAAGATATTATCCGTACATACACATAGCCTCTTACCATTTAACTTTTATAAGTTTTTGTCATGCTTCATCTCTAAGTTTACGAGGGAAAGGTACTTATTTGCATACATGTGATTGAGTGCCACCACATGGAATACAAAGTCAATGATACATTAGTATTTAATCTTGGATTCAATATCGACTTCTCTCTCTCTTCTTTATCCACTTCGTCTTGGTACAAATCACACCTTGATTATGCTGATAGCCTCTGAGCTAAGTCCCCTGCTTCCACCCTCAGCCCCCTGAAGCATATGCTCAGCCAGTAACTAGACTGATACTAAAATCAGTTAGGTCTCATTTCTCCTCAATTCATAATCCTCCCAAGACTCTGTTTCGAGTGGAACAAAAGCCGAAGTCCCTCCCTGGCCCGCCAGCATCCCGTGTGCTGTTGCCTCCCTGACCTGTCTCCTGCCACTGTCCTCCTTGCTCATTCAGCCCCCACCACACTGGCCTCCCTGGTGTGCTTTGAACACATTAGGAACCCTTCAGCGCCTTTGTAGTGGTTGTCCATTCTACCTGGAATGTTTTCGCCTGGCTATGTGAATGCCTAACTCCCTCACTTCCTTACAGTCATTGCTCAAATGTCATCTTTCTTTTAATGGTCACCATCTATTATAACCACAATGACTCACTTCTACCCCAGGACTCCTAAATCCTTCTTAACCTTCTGTATTTTTGTTCCACTGCACTGACTGCCATGTAACAGACTATATGATTTCCTTCATTTTTAACATCTGCTGTTTAGTGGCTGTTTCTAATGCCATCCAACTTTGAGAATCATCCAACTTTGAGAACAAAGATTATGGCCTTTGTCCACTGATATATACCAATCAATAGTTCCTGGTTATAGAAGGTACTCAATTAATGTGTTAAGAGAAGAGAGAAACCACTGTGGATAAAACAAGGTTAGAAAGACTTTACAAAGGAGCAAGCAAAGGCAGGGACTTAGTGCATGTGTTGTGCCTAACAAGAATGAATGGAAATGTTTCATGGACAGAGCACAGAACTCGCGCTAAGAAATGTCTGGTGTTATAGGGAGGCTGAAAGGCAGAATGGAGCTACACTGGTAAGTTTTAAACACTAAGCTAAGATTACAGACAGCTTGACGTGAGATGGAGCAGTCAGTGATTTTGAGCAGGAAAATATGTTAGAAACAGTATTTCAATCTGGTAACTATTTATGAAGCAGCCCAGAAAGGAAAATCTTTGCATTCCCTAGCATGGTGCTTTGCATAGAGCAGGACTCAAGTATTTATCTGAACCAAACTGAGTAAGATAGGAGATAAGAACACTAGTTAGGAGACTGCAACAATCTAGGCTGAAATAATAGCTTGAATTAAGGGGATGTGAAAAGAAGGGAAGTTTTAAAAGAAAATATGCTACTAAAAGAATATTTGAGACAAGAGAGAGGCAGAATAAAAGATAATGTCAAGAATGAGACTGAATTACTATATAAATGAAGATAAAGCAAAAGAAGTGCAAGGTAGGAGAGGATCTTTCTGGGGAAGACCCCAAGTTCTATTTTGGAGTAATGGTGGCACTGTCCTGGAGAAGGCCCTAAACTGGGAGATGAAAGAGGTCTTAATCTGTGGGCCAGCCATGTTACACCCGAGCTGTGTGAAATACTTGGAATCACTTAACCTCTGTAATACAAGGGCTTGTTTTTGTTTTTCTCCATGTAAAACAGACAAAACACAGTTCACTAGGTTGCTTTGAGGATTAATTGGGAATGCTCATGGGAGTGCTTACAAGCTTGTTGGTCATTACATGTGGAGATTGTTGTGAGGTGAAACAATGCAAAGGTCAAGTAGTTTGAAAATAGAAAACTAGAGTTTGGAAAGAGGGCTTAAGATTAAAAGTTGACATTCATCCATTTCTATGTGATAACCACAGTGTAAGGACAGATGAAATCCCCAAGGGGGAGACCTAATTGTCCCATGCTGGAGAGTACACAGCTTTACACTCACAGGACACTGGTTGTGTGTTCTTTAAATGACTGATGTTCAAATATGGCAAACCTCAATTTTTCTATGGGCATGGCTTCAAGTTCCTTAGGGTCTTCTTCTTTTGCAGAAATAGATTTCAACAGACCATCCTCAAATAGAGGATGGATGTTTTTCTAAGGTAAAGTGTCATCCTGCTCCAAGGGACCCTGTCATCCAGTTGAAAAGGGAAGAAGTGCTGGGCCACACAGACCGGAGAGGGTCTCCAATAGTTAGTTACCAGATTGCACCTCATTAGCTGTGTGAACTGAGCAATGTGCCTGACCTCTCTGAGCTTCCACTGTCTCGAGTGCAAACTCAGAATAATATTGTCTATTTCAAACATGGTTGCTTGGGTCAATTACAATAATGCTTGAAGACCACAGCACCCCATATTTGGAGCATGTTCTTTCCTTTTCTCCGGATTTCAGCCGTATCAATTACTGCAGCCTATGCAGTCTATGCATTATTGCACATAGAAAACCAGCCAACACAGAAGTAGGAATGGGGCCCCTGAAAGGTAACTTCACCGTCATGAGTTAATGCTTCTGTTGTCCCAGAAGGATCAACTTAGCCTCACAATAAAAGGCCCTGGCATCAAAGAATGTTTCCTTTTGACGGCAGAATAAATGTGGCTATAGTCATTCTCCTGTCTCTGTTTCAGAGTCTTGCATTCTCAGGACACTCTGTACCACAGCAAACATTTATGTCCTGCAAATTTCTCCTGAACAGACCCAATAAAGGTATTTGTGGTACAAGTGAACCAAACTTGCCACCAGACTCTTGTAAAAACATACTCTACTTAAAATCTGCTGGCCCATAATTTTAGTTTTCTAGTCTTCTCTTCCCTGAGGCATTTCCCAAGTACCATGATAAATTAAAAAATAAAAAACACAACATTCTTTATTCCTACAAGCATCATATAAATTGTTACTACCTCTGGGCAAGCAGCATTCAGAACAGAGGGTAAACAATCTTGCTATCAGATGAATGTATTGACCATGAATTTTACAAGAGTTCAGGAATGCCCTCGACCTTCCATCCTCATCTCCGCTGGATGTTTCTCCAAACCTCTCCTTTTAAAAGGGTGGTGCCATGAATACCATTGTTTTCACTGATAGCAATTCAAGACTTAGAACACCTGATGAATTTCTCCAGGGGATGAGAAGCCGAGCTGCTGCTTCTCATTTTCTGCTTGTGAGCCATCAGGCAGTTAAGGGAGTCTCTGGAAAAGCATGCTGCTTCCCCTGGAAGTGAACAAGGATCTCCCCTACAACTACATAAAATATATTCTTCACCAAGACATCCAGATGGTGCCTCAAGCACACAGGACAGGATGCTTTGTGCCCAACCAAGCCATGCTCATTCAATTTTACTCCTAAAACAGTTTTTCAAGTGGAGTTGAAGAGAGGAAGCAAAGAGAAGAATCATCAAAAAGACTGTATACCTTCCAGTGTCAAGGCCAAGGCATGCAGTTGGCTGTGATTCACTGTAAGCACCCCTGACAGGCAATAGTCAGGAAAATGATGCTGTTATGAAAGCTTATGATGGTTGAAATGCAAGTAATGGGAATTGCTAGTAAGAGAAATAGGCCTCTTCTCATTGGTAACACATGAGAACAAGCAAAGAGCAAGGCCCAGAGATCCTTTATAACTGGCTTGAGGGAGGGACAGGGAAATTAGGATTTAAATAAGATGTGGTGATAGTCTATTTAACCACATAAATCCCAAGCACCCAATTCCAAAGAATTCTCAAATTGATATACGAATCACAACGTCTCAAATTTGCCAATGAAAAAATAACCCAACAATGCTTCCGTTGCATGCTGGTCACTAAACCAAAATCCTCGAAGGACCCAGCCCTCTCTCTGCTTTAAGAACTGGACCTAAA
Source organism: Homo sapiens (assembly GCF_000001405.40). Taxonomy (NCBI): domain Eukaryota; kingdom Metazoa; phylum Chordata; class Mammalia; order Primates; family Hominidae; genus Homo; species Homo sapiens. Next base: position 33,065,446 of record NC_000014.9, on the reverse strand, counting down.
CATCTCAATACTAAACACAGTAAATAAAATTATTTTTAAGCAACCTAGAGGATAATGCAGCAGACATAATATGTGACAGGATGAGTTTGGAAAGCAACCAGAAAACTCCATCTAATCGTTTAACTTTTCATACATGGATGTATCTGACCTAAAAAAGCCGTATGTTTCTTTAACCCACCATACCCTTCTCACCACACCTTTCTCACCACTAGCTTCGTTCTATAACTGCAAAACTATTTCCACATTTAAATGTGTACTATGTCTAGATAAAAATAAATATTAAGGTGGTACGGAAAGATTTGTCTGCTGAAAATCCTATCACTAATGAGTATATCACTAGTTCTCGCTTGAATTTAAATTCAAACAAATTCTTTTGAAAACAAAAGTGCTAAAAATCCTGAATTTCAACACCAGGAAAAATATAAGTGTCACATCAAAAAGGAAATCTCTGTGGAACAGTTTCTCTATGGAAACTGACCATGTAGCTTCCAGCTTCCCCCAAATAAGCTGCTCATATACAAATTAGAACACCTCGTCCCAGACATTTCCCAGCCGAGTCAGGTGTGTATGGATTCACAAGAAAATACCTATATACATGGATATACATCTATAAAAAGTGTTATTCATAGAAACACACACCATTGTATAGAAGACTACAAGGATAGCCACCAAATTGTTAACAGTGGTGATCTGTGGGTAGGACAATTACAAAAACATTGATGTTCTTTCTTTATGCTTACCTGTGTTTTCTAAGTGTTCCAGAATGAAAATGTACTGCATCTCTATTCAAAAAGAGCTTTTGCAAGGGAAGAGGATAAACGTCATGAGGTAACTAATCTACGACTACTCCCCCTCCCCGCCCACCACTCACCAACCCAGAAACATGACATTGGGCCTGGTGAAAGAAATTCCAAGAATATTCCCTCAACACAAGTTGAAGGCCCACCAAAGCCTGCTCTGTGAGCTCCAAGGTAACACAAATCCAAGGCCATTTACAGAGCAGAGGACAGGGAATTCCCTAAATCAACAGAAAAACATATGGAAATAAAAGTTATGAGTAGGGTAAAGTGGAAACCATAATTTCGTTCCTTTGTTGCTGGTAGGACAATTAAGGGAGGTATATTAATTGTTTATCTTCTCATTAAAAGAGATGTCTTGCTGCATATTTTTCTTATTGTAAAGATACTGCTTATATACTTTTTAAATAATACAGATCATAATACTGTAAGTTTTTTTGATAATATGTATTTTTCATAAGGAAAATTATACTTTTTAAATTTCCTAAAATTATAAAATTTTCTCATGTATGAAATTAATTTCTTTTAATAGATATCCTGAATAGTCACTAAAATTCACAATGATCTCCTTTAAGGCAATACTGTACTTTGGTGTGAAAATGGAATTTCTCATTTATATTACATAAAGCATAGTAATAAACAACAACTATAACACATAATTCAGCGTGTGTTCCTTTTGGAACTTTAAGTTCTTCAACATCTCCATAGTCATTATGACTTTTCTTGCTGGCGGTTGAATGCTTATTATTTCCATTTTGCAGATACTAATTCTGCGAGGTTAACAGTTCTATAGTAAGTTAGATGAGCAACAAGGTAGTACTCATTTAGTGTATGTTTACTATATGCCAAGCACCATGATTAGTGTTTTTATGGTTTAGACCTTAGGTTCTGAAGTCAGATAGCCTGAGGTCTAATGCGGAGGTCAGCAAACTTCTATAAATGGCCAGATTGTAAATATTTGCAGCTTTGTGGGCCATATGGTCTCTGTCACTACTATCAACTATGCTCTTATAGCAGGAACGGAGTCACAGATAATACCTAAATGGTTATGGATATTTTCCAATAAAATTGTATTTACAAAAATGGAGGGGGATGGGGTAGATTTGGCTAATGGGCCCTAATTCAGTGATACTAATCCTAATTCCACCACAAATGAATGGGTATGGCCTTGTTCCAATAAAACTTTACAAAAACTGGGGGGTTGGGGGTAGATGTGGCTAGTGGATCATAATTTGCTGATACTAATCTTAATTCCACCACATCCTGCCTTCTTAACCTTGAGTTAGTTCTGTCAGCTCTGTAAGCTTCTGTTACCTTATCTGTAAAATGTGGTAATAATCATACCTAAGGCATAAGTTTATTGTAAGGATTTTTTTAAATGTATGTTAAGCCATTAGCCCAGTGCCTGACGTTGGCATCTGGTAAAAGATCAGTAATGTTCATTATTATCACCATCCTAATCATCACATTCATCCTCAAAACAACCTCTGAGGTATTGTTTTGCCCCTACTTTTAGAGATAAGCAAACAGAAGCTTAAAGTTAAGCAACTTAGTCACTGTCCCACATGTAACAGATAATTGTGGGGCTAGGATCAAAGCCAGATCCATTTCCAAGAGATTTAACCACCGCTAGCAATGACTAAACATTACTGCATGGACTTAATTGTTTAAAATAGCTTGCTCATAGTCAAAGAACAAAGCATAATGATTATACTCTAATGCATAAACTAAGTCCAAAGATTCACTAAAGACACATTTGTAAACTCAATACACAGAAGAAGCTGTTCATAAGGTAAGGAGAATTTACTGAAACCACAGTTTAAGTTTGCTGTAGTATTTCTAAAGTCTGGACACAAGCACATTAGTATCACTGACTTTCTGAAACCACCTGTTAGCGATTTTTGAACGCCGCTGTTCAACAGCGTGCCTACAAAAGGCTCGTTGTGGTGCTACACCTCTCATCTTGACCTTTACTTTCGTTCTCAAGTTTCTAGAGGTCACATGCACACTGCAGGTGTGTCACCAACCAATTATTTTTTAAAATCTAGGTAGTCACTTCTCTCATAATGAAAATATACACTCCGGTGAAACCAATTAATATTCTTTCATTCTAAATCATGCTGCCTGCGCCTATCCATTTTTACTCTCTGGCATTCGTTTATCTTGAATTACAAGTGGTCTGTGAGGAGAAAGGCAGAGGTGGGCACCTCAAGCCAGGAAAAGCAATGAGTTTGCAGACAGATCCTGAACCGGATTTCACATTGGGAGAGTCCTTCAAGATATTTATCAATAAAAAACAACTTTAAACTAACAAACACCACAATTTCACATTCCTTCTTTTTTTTTTTCTTTTTTTTTTCATAGGTGGGAATTGAACAATGAGATCACATTCCTTCTTGCAAAGCAAGTTACAAGAGTTGTGAAACAAAGAAGAGGAGAGGAAGCTATGGAACACTCCCACAGCAGCCTCAGGCCTAATCCACCTCCAGGGTAATTCTTCTCGAAGATGCAGTCTCTGTCACACTCCTGAAAACTCCTGCCAGGGCTCTCCCAGGATGGCAGTCCTCTGGGATCTGAGGCCTCTGCTCTCCCTTCCTCTCCAGCCTCACCTCCTGTCACCGTTCCCCAGCCCTCCACTTCTGCCTGTGTCCTTTGCAATTTGCCACACCAGAAATGCCTTTTAGCCCAAACCATTACCTCGGGTTCCCTCCCAAGCTCAGATAGCTCCTCCTCCACCATGAAGACCTTGGGCTCCCTGCACTATTAAAAATGGCCCCTCTGTGGTGCTGCTTCCATAGTTGACACTTATTTCTCCTGAGGCACCGCTCCAGGCAGAATGTCAATTACTTATTGATATCTCAGTCTTCTAGGCTTCTAGAGAGCAGAGGTTTTCTTAGTCACCTCTGAATAAGTCAGTTAGTGTAGAACAGTTCGTGTAGAAAAGCACCTGACCCGTGGGTGATGATTAAAATATATTTGTTAAATGAATGAATAAATTCACTCACTTCTAGGCTAGTCTAGAATAACCCCTAAATAATACACTTTCATGCCATCCACATTACCAACATATGCTACTTCAAGTCATTTATAGGCAAAAGCATTCGTGTGATGCTAAAATTAACTGGGAGAAACCACCAGAAACCATGCTGAAGTCTGAAAGGCATGATGTGGAAATTAGAATTCATTTGGATATCGAAAGGCTTGAAGCAGTTCTTGCTACAAAGTTCAATGTCTGTTTAACATGTTTAGCATTAGAGCTCTTTATGAAGGTCATTTTATATTTCTAACTCTTTTCTCAATCCTTTGTTATTTACTGATCCTAACACAACTGGCATAAGTTGTTCTATTGTGCAGGTGAGGGGAAGATGACTGTATAATAGCAATCAGTCAATCAGGTTAAACAACCAGCAAAAGAATTCACTCCTGCTGCTGGAGCCTCCGTGACCTTTCCCTTTTCTTCAGCATAGGTGACCATCCTCCCCCCAGCAGAATCCCTGACAAGGCGCCTGTCTTGTTCGCCTTAATTGGGATAACACATGAAAGTGGTTAGCACTCTGTCTTGTACAAAAGAGCTGATAAAGACTGGCACGTTCCCTCCTTCTTCACTCATTCTCCTCTTCTCTTCCCTGGAACTTGTTAATTCCTTCCCTCTTTTGGTTGTGAATCCAAATCCACGCTTCTTGGCCAAGGCCAGCCTTAACACTATATACTGAGTAGAGTACCCACATTCTGGATTTGTATTTTCAGGAAGAAAGAAACTTTCCTCTAGCCCCATATGAATTTATCCAAGCCCTGTCATGGTGTCTGAAATTATTCTGTTGGAAAAAACTACCCATTTTCTTGAATTTGTTCACCTGGAGTTGCTTATGAAAAGGCAAATCGTCCTGAGAACAGTAACACCATCAGCTAACAACACCTGATCTGCAATGAGGGCTATAGACAATCACAACTCTGTGCCGATGAGGCACAGGTTTGAAACACTAACCAGGCATCCAGGTGGAATGAATTTCACAAAGGAGAAAAAGGGGCTTGGAAAAGGATGGGGTTCCAAAGGATGGAAAAGACAGCTAAACAAAGACAAACTTTACAATTTTGCCAATGGCCTCTTCTGCTTTCAATGACAACTGTCTAAATCCATTACAAACACCTTCTCAATCAGGGCTTCTCAATCTTGGTTACACTTGGAGTCTAGGAATCCTGGATTAAACCTCGTTGTTTAAAATAGGTACTGCCATGCCTATTACAATGGCATAGCATGTGCTCAATAAACGTTAGTAATTGAAACTGCCATCTCAGACTCACTCCATCTTTTCTAAATACGGGTGAACGGATTGTTCTTGGCTTTAAAGACACCCCACTCTTCCTCAAATCCCTCTATGGCAGTGTCCAACTATATGGCTGAATTGCAACTTAAGTTTTGAAGCTACAAACACCTAGCTCAGTTGACTCTTTCCTACTTATCTTTCCTCACTATCTCATATTCTTCTTAATATAGGTGATTTCCTTTGAACTTACTACTACTATTCCATCTCATGTCTATGAATATTTTATTTCCTCTGACTTACCCAATATTTTCTTTCAAGTTCAGGCCAGGAATCCAGTACTTTTAGAGGCTGAGGTGGGAGGATGGCTTGAGCCCAGGAGTTCGAGACCAGCCTGGGTAACAGAGTAAGACCTTGTCCTCTACTAAAAACAAAACAAAAAAGCCAGACATGGGGGCATGCACCTGTAGTCTTAGCTACTTGGGAGCTTGAGCCCAGGAGTTCGAGGCTGCAGTGAGCTATGATTGCACCACTGCCTAGGCAACAGAGCAAGACCCTGTCTCTAAATAAAAAACAATAAAGTTCAAAGTTATAGTTAGTATGGAAGGGGTGTCTTTTCTCCTATTTTAGACTATGCTACTTTTACTTTTGTATTTGAAAATATTTTTATAAGATTGACAACTGTTTTAATTTGAAAAGAACTTTTGCATCTTCTGATGAAATCCACTACTTTACAGATGTGTTTGCGAAAACACAGACATTATTGTAAACTGTAAAAGACCACTAAAAAGGAAAGGAGGGGTCTGAGGCCCAAAATTTGTAATACTTAGCAAAATAACTGCCTAACTTAAAATGATACAATTTGTAAAATATTTACAATATGAGGTGTATTTTTTAAAACACTATATACCTACCCTTTACCAAAGAACCTGATCTTACCAATTAAACTTGAAATTTTAAATTGAAAGTATAATAAGCATTTAACAGAAGTTAGAGTAACTATTACTATTATTTGGAACTAATTATAGACGTTTTAAAATAATCACAGGTTTTATATTCCTGCTTGTTTTAAACTTTCATTATTGAAACAATTGTCTAATCATTTAAATAATTACCAATAAAATCTAAATGCAACATAGAAAATAATGTCTTTAAATATGTAATTCAAAATAATTATAAAACCATAGAATTATAGTTGGAACAAATATGAGCAATGACATGCTGGTACATGTATAACAATCACTTGGGGCTTAGAGAGCACCAGAATTGCAATATTTTCCAATTTCCATGGTGCAAGTACTTTCTGCAACTTCAAGTTACTAACGTGAGGCCAGAACTAACAAAGTGAGAAAGAGGTGCATACAATTGACTCTCACAAACCCATCCAAGTTGGCTCTAGCACATCCCTGAATATGAGAGACCAAACAGCGTAGCCTCTTCATTCCTGAACCCTTTTCATAAGACTGACCATTTCTTTCTTTATAATCCAGTGTACCCTGAACACAAAGTGACAACACCTATATATTATTCTGTTTATACATTTACCTACTCAACTCTATCACAGTGGCTTCCATTCTTTTTGGATATGAAACACAGTAGAAACACATATTACCTCATGATCTACCCAGTAAACACATATGTGCAGTTATATGTACACATACACAAATATGAAACTAAAAAGGGAGCCTCACAAAATAAGACACATTCTTACTGAAATGCAATACAATAAAATTTTCTGTTCTCTTCCATTTCATTTTTAAAATTAGGATCTTGATCCACTAAATTGGATACATATCCAACTGTTTGAATAGTAACCAAGAGTTAGAAAAACGTCGCTGTAATAGACTATAAGCTCATTGAAGATTGGATGATATGTCATTTGTCTGTATCTATTCCTATATCTACTAGTAATTACTGAGGCCCAAGGAGATTAAGTAACTTGCCCAAAGATGCACCTGCTTTCATGGATAACAATCCCTCCAGGCAAGTGATAATTCACACCACAGAATCAGGAAATTTATGGTTTGACACTGAAAGCTAGAGGATCTTCCAAAACAGTTACCCCTTCACCAGAAATTGATGTAGAAATGTTTTTAAAATTGTACTGACTCCATCATTGATAAAAGTGTAGCCCTTTACTCACTGCAGCCCTGTGACCCTGACTGTTTGCCTACATCTCCCTACTCTTGATAATATTCACCCAACAAGAGTGTGGAAAAACTACCCATGTTTTTTACAATACTATCCATGTTTTTTTTTTTTACAATACATTTCAATCTTCTAGGGAAAGTAGCTATATAAATGCTGATGAGTAATAAATATATAGAATAAACATACTCCTTATATAATATATATTAACACCAGCTTTCTAATAAACAGAAGCCAAAAACTTAATTGGAGAAAATAGGAAGATAAAATCGGAATACCCGGCCTTTTCTCTTCAGTGTGCTTGTGTACCACATGCTTTTTTATAGGTGCTATTAAATGTACACTATAGTTTCAAGACAATTCAGATAAGCATCTTCACTAAAATACACAACACCATTAATCATCTCAGTGACAGTACTCCAATTCAACATCTTGGGGATTTCCTCCCCTTCTTCATCATTTATTTGCCAATATTTCCTTGTTATGAATATCCCCATAGTGACTTTCCCTGGCAGTCACAGCTGTGCTGCCTACTGTGTCTACCTTGACTACAAATAACACCAATTCTTTAAAAAGCAAGCCCTTGAGATGATTCCTACAGCTAGCAGGGAAGCCTTACTATGCGCCAAATTCCTGGTGGCCCCATCCGGGCTCCTAATTGACAAATCTCAGCCTCTAAGCCAACAGTAATTTCAGACACGTGAAACTGACTTAATTAAAAATAAACAACAGTTGATTGTTGATATGCACTTATTTGAATGGTCAGTAATCAAATCCTGCTTTAATTTGGTCCTTAAAGGACCCTCTTCTTATACAACAAAAGGATTTTTCAAAGTATACAACAAATCCACAAATCACTAACAAATTACAGAAACCTGGCCACCAAGAGCCACAATAAATGACTCACAGATAACAAAGAATTTTTTAAAATGATGATCAGTAACAATTCTGCATTATAATTATACCAGTTCGGATAAAACTAGTAACACTATCTAGACAGTGAAATATCAATAAATAAAGCCAGAGATAACTACATGTATATAGTAAAGATACAGTGATACAGTCACCTAAACCATGCTAGGTAGGGAACAGTCCCAGCTCCATCCAGTATCCACTTTGTGTCTATTTCAGAGAGCAGCCTTCACAGCCACCAGAATTTCTGATTTTTTAAAAATGGAAACCATGAAAGAAAGTGCTCTACAACCAGTTGGAGGAGTAAATGAAAGTAGGACTCACCAGCTTGCATTCACAAAGGATTTTTTAAGGAAAAAAATGGTATTGTTCAATAGTCACACTACTACAAAAGAAGTTAAGAGTGTGAAGACAAAAACACAACAAAGTATATTTGCAAAGTATATCCAGAAAACATAATGCCTTCAGTGGAATTATGTTTACATTACTTTCCATTTTCCATAGGAGAATTTAATTAAAGGTTAATGTTGCTTCAATCAATATTTCATAACTTTTATGGAAAGCATAAATTTCATCTTTTTTGGGGAAGATTCCAATTGGATTACTGTTTTTGAAGAAAACTTTCTTCACAGCAAAAGCAATACAAGTCCAACTATGATATATTAAAATGCCATTTCCTCCCAGAGCAGAGTGTTTACTTCAGTGATAGTAACAACACCTCGTTACCCAAAGTGCAGATTCTGTTAAGTAATGGACAAAGCAAATGGCAGCAAAGACAGAGGACTCAACTTCAATTTAACTGTCCTGTAAGGTACATAGTAATTAGCTGCAAAGCTCTGAAATCTTAGCTAGCATGTTAAGTCTGCTACATGACAGTATAATTTGACTTCTTAAAGGATTATGCAAATTACAACTCATCATTCCATTACAGGATTGAAAAAAAGTGACAGCTAATTTATACATAACACACCTTTCAAATCCCTAAGATGCGTAGCACCTGTGCAATGTATTTTGCCGAGATTTTCTTGCATATAAGTACTTGTTTATTGCAATATAAAGAAGCTTACCTAAGAGCTTTAATACAGTCGTTAAAAAAAACTTTTAGACCACAATTTCAAAAAAATAAACATTTTTTTTCTGTCTTGATCTCAGAGGCAAATTGTTTTGGTTGTTTTTATTTGGTTTGGTTTGTTGGTTTGTTTTTTTGTTTTTTTTTCTCCCCCACTAAATTAGATAAAAAGAAGGTTTCAATACAAGGATATTTTTGAATAGCTGGCAACCACAAGCACTGATGTACGAGCCAGAAGGAAGACTCACAAAGATTTCAACATACTTCTGGTAGGTAGATTCACAGTAGATTCCGTCATATCTGTAGATTTTCCTACATTCTGATTGGTTGGGCAGAGGATGCTGGGCAGTTATTCTGTAGAGGCATCAAAAACAGATAGACATGACTAGAGATTCTCTACAGTCAACTGGAATGCAGGATAACAAGTATGTTGAAATTCAATATATTTTGCTTTTTACGCTTTTGAGCTCTACACACAATTGCAATGTGTACATACATTTTAGAACATTAACTTCCACTTTTAGAAAACTGCAGTCAGAGAAAAGCAACTTTTTCAGTTCTTTATCAGGACAGTTTTGTTTTGTTTTTTTTTTTAAATCTCAGAGTCATAAAAGTGGAAGAAAAGAGACATAGGTCTAAACCTTAACTCACTCTTCAATTCCCATGATTATATTCTAAAGGAAATGTTAAAAACAAATGTCATTAGTGTTTTTGTTATAGGACTGTCATTAGTTCAATCATGCATTACTATTGTAGGCAACTGTAAATTAGCTATAAAACCTTGGTCGAGTTAATATATTTTTCAGCTCTATTCAATTTATATAGAGTTTGCTATGGACTTATAAAGGAATGCGATTCAGCTTACAGAACTAAACCCAATTAGGGATGAAAACACAAGCAAGGCCGTCGGGAACACGGGTTAGATGTTAACAGGCACCTGAGATGAACTGATTACAGTGGCTCCAGGTTTCTTGGCAGTTAAGGCAAAAAGGGGAAAAAGCTTACACAATTTTCATCTGTGTTACTTAAGCATATAAATTCATCTGAGACTCCTTGCATTATATAGACATAAAAATGCTGAGATGTTTTCTGGCCATTTCCTTCTATTGAAAATCCCTTCATTCAGGGAAAAAAGTATTTAAAGAATCTATCATTTCATAATTTAGAGGAAAGTAATGTCATTTAATCAATACACAATATCAGTACGAGTACCAATCCTTTCGCTCTAATACCAGCATATTAGAAAAGTATAATGTCTAATCCCTAAGCCAGTAGATACTTAATATCTTCTTAATTATTAATTAAAAACATGTGATGGATCATGCTACTTTATAAAAACTCAGATAAGGCCAGGTGCGGTGGCTCACGCCTGTAATCACAGCACTTTGGGAGGCCGAGGCAGGCGGATCACGAGGTCAGGAGATCAAGACCATCCTGGCTAACACGGTGAAACCCCATCTCTACTAAAAATACAAAAAATTAGCCGGGCGTGGTGGTCGGCGCCTGTAGTCCCAGCTACTTGGGAGGCTGAGGCAGGAGAATGGTGTGAATCTGGGAGGCAGAGTTTGCAATGAGCTGAGATCCTGCCACTGCACTCCAGCCTGGGTGACAGAGCAAGACACCGTCTCAAAAAAAAAAAAAAAACTCAGATAAGTTTTTTCTAATTTCTATGTTTCTAATTTTTTAAGTTTACTTAATATTTCATAAAGCCCAACATATTAAGTGACAATACTTTCAAATAATTTAAGTTCTACTTTTGAACTTTATTTAGCTGCATTAATAAGATTTTATTTAAACACATTCTCTGTGTTATATTCAAACTATATAAAGTATACATAGTTTATATATAAAGTATATGTATACTCAAATCTCTCATTAAATTCTGTAGGCCAACAGTTCTATTTATAATTAACCATTTACCCCTTGTTTAAGTGATTTTTAAGCCCCATGTTGATTATTGTATTCAACTTCTAACCTAAACATACTCATTAACTATCAGTGGAATTTCAAAAGTTTACATTAACCCATGTGGCATTTTATTGTAAAACTGTTACAAGAAAGCAAGAGATATAAAAAAGCTTGAAATGAAGCCCAGGTTTAAAAGATTCAATAATAGGCCCACCTGACAAATTAATTTTGGCCATTAAGTTTGCAAAAACAAATCCTGAGAAGTTGTTTTGAGCATGTGATAGCCCCAGTGACAGCAGATGATATGTTACAGATTTTTTAAAAGAATTGGTTTGACCTAAGATCACACTGAAATACTCTATATCTCTGTTCAGTGTCATTTTATGCTTTAAAATTGATTTCTTATATTTTGCTCTAAATTAAAAATTAAAGTACTGAGAAGTATTTGACTATGAACAATTTGAAGCAGTTAAAGAATAGTCAATGTTACCTGGCTCTCAATAATTTTGAAAATAAACTTACCCAGAAAAGGTTTTGGGTAGAGAGGAAGGGGGGAAAAGAAGGACTACCACTCTTTTGTTCGTGACAGAAAATGTTATGATGTAATTTTCATTTACATCTTGTGTACCATAGAGGAAACTGTCAGGTTTAAAAAATTACAGATAAGACATCTATAGGAATCAAATCCCCAAACCATCATTTACTTAACACTTTGTGTTTTACCTTTCTTGCTACAATATGTTATCATCAAAAAGCTACTGAGTTCATTCTCTCCACCTGATTTTGTTTTTAAAGGTTAAACACTGCCAGGAAAAAGTTCAAATATGCCTTTCAATCGTGAAACTATTATAAACTGTGGCTTCTGCCTATCAAACAATCCACATTCCCTTCCCTTCCTGTCACTTCTGTCTAGATGGACTCATCATACAGCTTGAGGTAGGACTTAAGTGCATTTACATACATGTGAAACATGTAAGCTATGACTAATTTTAACTCAGGGCAGAATTTAAATAATTAGTTACAAGAAGTCAAACTAAGGGAAAAAGGAGGAAAGAGATGGTTAGAGGCAGAGTAGTAAATTGTTCCATTTTTGCAGGTAATCTAAATGCAAACTAGAAGCAACTTATCATGAGAATGGATTTTCCACCATCTGGTCAAATAACAGGGGATTTGTCTAGTGGCAAGCAAAGAATGGAATGATGTGAGAAAGATTAGCGGGCAAGTCCTACAGTTGGCTAAAATGTATTTTGTGCAAACAAGAACAGATGACGCCTTAACAATTACACCTGTCAAAAACTCCAGAAAGCAATCCATCTCTGAACAGCCCAGTTGAAAACAGGCTAGTTCATAACAAAATGAATTTTTTTTAAACAATTGCCAGCCATAACAGTTTGATGCATGACAAGCTTAGGAAGTCACATTTCACGTTCAACTGAAACCTTAACTAACTGGACCCTGGTTTTCAGTGATAAGTAAGATATTAAACCTCCTTAAAAAAAAAAGTTCAAGTAATATAAATGGCAGGCTTGAAAATCACAAAAGCAAAGAAATTCAAAATTATAGACAGAAAACCAGAAGTAAGAAATTGCCATGGACTCACCCTCTTGTGCCTAGGTATTGCCACCGTAGTAGCAAAGGGGATTATTTCCTGGAGCAAATGTGGCCAGTACTGGCTCCCCTTGCTGGCAGTATTATTAGAAACAAGAGCAAGGATGAAATACATTATCTAAGCTGAGTTCCACCTGGTAGTGAGGGACAAACCCAACACATCATATTTTGCAACGTTTTTAAAGGGTTTTATTTTCTAGTTATTAAGCATAAGCGCTGGCCATTCTCTTGAATTAATATGTAGGGTTTTTTCTTAATGTATTGTTTTAAGACAATAGGATGAGTATATCTAATATTTACCTTTGGACTTGGGCAGTTTCTCTCATATCCCCCAGCAACCCCATTATAATGCACATAGCTCTGTTCCTGATTGGTCAGAGTAGTTTTTGGGGGTGGTAGGGTAGTTATTTAATATGTATCAGGGAAGATAAGCTACCAGAGAACAACTGACAGCCTAAGGATTGCACTGCTGTTTTTAATCCCATGCTTAGAAATATTTAAAATTTACAAAGCCATCCTTTAAAGACATTTCTGAGGACAACAGGGATCCTTTGCCACTCTTGGGGATGGTACTTTCTTATACAGGTGTCTGAACTGCAAATTTTATGGCTATTAGATGAGAAATTCAAAACCTACTTATAATTTTGAACTATCTTACTGAATTCAGGTTAAAATGTAATTCATGGCCAGGCACGGTGGCTCACACCTGTAATCCCAGCACTTTGGGAAGCCAAGGTGGGTGGATCATGAGGTCAGGAGATCAAGATCATCCTGGCTAACACGGTGAAACTCTGACTCTACTAAAAATACAAAAAATTAGCCAGGCATGGTGGCATGTGCCTGTAGTCCCAGCTACTCAGAAGGCTGAGGCAGGAGAATCGCTTGAACCCGGGAGGTGGAGGTTGCAGTGAGTCAAGCTCGCACCACTGCACTCCAGGCTGGGCAACAGAGCAAGACTCCATCTCACACACAAAAAAATGTAATTCTTTATTTGTACCCCTAAATTGGTATTCTAAATAACCATTTCACGTATAACTTTTAGTTTTCACCTCTTTGAGGGTTTGAAAACACAGTTTCTTCACCAAGGTATCCGTTCTCTGTTTTCTGATAGCCAGGGTCAAGGGCTCCCTGAATGACAGTGACTAGTATTTTCATGTTTCCTGTGTTTATGGAATTTGAAAGCTGCATCAATCACACAAAACAAAATTTTTTGCCCTGTAAAGTTCTGATGTGGACATTCATAGCTACAAATGCAACGAAACAGGGTCTGTGGTGTGTTCAAAATAGAAAGGTAGTTTTTCAGAAAAACAACATGAGTATACTACTATGTTACACCAGATGGCATTGCAAGTAAGAGTACAAGCTCTATAATCAGAGTTTTTGAGACTGATGGATCTCAGGTCTGCCACTTAGTAGGTGGTAGTGGGGAAGTTCTTTAGTCTCTCTTTTTTTTTTTTTTTTTGAGACGGAGTCTCGCTCTGTTGCCCAGGCCGGACTGCGGACTGCAATGGCGCAATCTCGGCTCACTGCAAGCTCCGCTTCCTGGGTTCACGCCATTCTCCTGCCTCAGCCTCCCGAGTAGCTGGGACTACAGGCGCCCGCCACCGCGCCCGGCTAATTTTTTGTATTTTTAGTAGAGACGGGGTTTCACCTTGTTAGCCAGGATGGTCTCGATCTCCTGACCTCGTGATCCACCCGCCTCGGCCTCCCAAAGTGCTGGGATTACAGGCGTGAGCCACCGCGCCCGGCCTTCTTTAGTCTCTTTTAACCTCAGCTTCCTCATGTGAAAAATGGGAACAATAAAAAGATCTACTTCACTACCTGCTGAGGATGGCCCAAAGAGATAATTGTGTAAAGTGCTTAGCCCAGAACTTGCACTTAGAACACAGTACATTAGCTTTTAATAACAGTAATTATCCTCCTACATGCCAAAGTTAGCAAACCCATTGTAGGGTCAAATATTTTTATAAACTATAGGCTGAAAACAGGGAACAAGAGATTTCATTCGAAATGTGTTTTGCACTGTGATCTTTTAAGACTTTCACTGTGATGCTTTCATTCTTCTTGTAGATAGGCTATGTTCTTGATAGACTTCTGTTTCATGATAATCTATCATCTCTAATGGCAATTAAATTAATATAACATTTATCAGAATAAATTTGCTTCATAAATGAATTTTTCTGTCATTAGCAATAATGTGTTAAGTTCTAGGCCCTCCCCTTTAGAAGGTATGCAGATAAGATGGAGCAGAATTCGGAGACAGCCATATCACAGTGAGGGACAAGGAGCCAGGGGAGGTGATGACCCATTGAAGGAACTAGATCCTCCAGAGAGAAGACCTAGGGAAGACTGCTGGGCCTCAAACATCTAAAATGTTGGCTTGGAGATGATTCCTATTTGTTATGAGTCCACAGAGAGGACTTGGGTCCAATGGGTTGAAGACATAAGAAAATAGATTCCAGCTTAAAACAAAAAACAAAAAAACCCAACTGGCCAAATCTAGTTAGGAGTGAAATGAGTGAGTTCTTGTCAATGGTAGTGTTTTGAATCAGTGTGAACACCCACTTGACCAGGTTCTGAAACACAGGGCCCAAGCACCAAATTGATGATTGGAAGAGTTGACTTTGACTTTTAACGTGACCTAGGAGTCTGATTCCAATTAGACTTTCCCCCCTAGATTGTAACATACCTACAGAACTCCCTCAGCGCTAACCAAAATATTCCTGCAGTTTCTGCTAATTCTGGAAAGCTACTAAGCTTTACATGATAAGAAACCTTAAGGTAAAAGCAGCAAAAAAACTAAGAGGGCAACTTGGAAAGTATTTGAACCTAGTGCAATTATCCTCCAGTGAATCAGACAAAAGGGAAGTAATTAGATGGGTCCTGCTTTCTATTCCTCTGTCTTCTTACCTCCCTGATGTCTGAGGGTCCCAGCATTTGTCCATCTGTTGGGAGACATGTCCAAGTAATGCTTAGGAGCCCAAGCTTTGGAACCAGATGTGAATGCAAACTTGGAGCTCTGCCGCTACTAGCTATATGACATTGATATTGTTTGGCTCTGTGTCCCCACCCAAATCTCATCTTGTAGCTCCTATAATTCCCATGTGTTGTGGGAGGGACCCAGTGGGAGATGACTGAATCATGGGGGCAGGTCTTTCCTGTGCTGTTTCTTGTGAATGGATTTCACAAGATCTCATGGTTTTAAAATGGGAATTTCTCTGCATAAGCCCTCGTCTTTGCCTGCCGCCATCCACGTAAGATGTGACTTGCTCCTCCTTGTCTTCCCCCATGATTGTGAGGCTTCCCCAGCCATGTGGAACTGTGAGTTCTCCATTAAACCTCCTTCCTTTGTAAATTGCCCAGTCTCAGGTATGTCTTTATCAGCAGCATGAAAATGGACTAATATAGACATCGGATAGGGAGCATTGGCTCTCTGAATCTATAATGACAACAATAAATGTTATTTCACATGGGTTAGAGATGGTGATGTAAAACACTTACCACAGTATCTGGAACAACATAAAGGGTTGTATCCATTATAACTATGAATTCACTCACTCAATAAACATTTACTGAAAATTATCTTTGTTATTCATTGTGCAGGTATATCAAAGTGTGCTGGCTACACTCTATAGCTCTATATTCATGAAACCTACAGACACTACTAGACTCAGAAATTATAACTTCAGTAGATATAGAAAGCTCCTAATCACAGAAGGGTGGCCCCAAGACTGGCTTTGATCTACATTTTGTAGGTCCTGTAAAAGAAGATCAGTGTCTTGAAAGGAGCTGAAATCCCTCCATCGAAAGCTTCTCTTCCTAAATACGTGTACACACATCATCTTCCTTCATGCTGAATGCTGTGCACCCTCTTAGCAAATGGCAGCAAGCGTACTAGACTATACTTGGAACTTTCATCCAGTAAGTGTTAGAACACCATATTGTCAAACCTCTCAGCCAGAGTGTTCTTGGTCTCATTTTGAGATGACTGTGCTCAGCAAAATGGGCTATTTACCACTGTGACCTCTATTTTGTCATTATTTTGGGGTTCTGGGAAGTGGTTGATGAAATTATGCCAGTACCATACCTGGAACTACACAAAGAAACAAAAGACATTAAAATGCAAGTTCTACATGGTTTGAGGCACTGTCCTGTTAATGGTGGTGAAAGGGTGTGTAGAGAACAGCAGGCAAATGGGGATTGGTGGGAGTCCTCCCAAAGTCAAAGCAGCTCAGGAGGCTGAACCAACAACTGCAGGAACAATGCCTGGGGAAAAAGCTACATCTGAAGGCGCAGCCTGACTTCAGGGAACTGAAAGGAAAGGAAAAGTAATTTCCAGTGTAAAATGCCCACCCTTTGTCCTTAAGGGCTACACCGTAGTAAGTGGATCCCTACAATGCTGATCCTCTAGGAGGCCATTTTCAGAAAGTAGGCCCCAGCACTAAAGTATTATGTGTATACATGTTAGGTTAGGATGACCAGTCTTCTCTGGGCAAGAATAACTTACATTTCTGTAATACCTGACCACCTTCAAAATGATCTGCACAGTAGCCATGCATTTTATTAATATTTTACTTTTAAATGAGGAA
Organism: Homo sapiens; assembly: GCF_000001405.40. Lineage (NCBI taxonomy): Eukaryota > Metazoa > Chordata > Mammalia > Primates > Hominidae > Homo > Homo sapiens. Next base: position 33,048,153 of record NC_000014.9, on the reverse strand, counting down.
ACTAAGACTTAGAGCATTTAAGTCACACAACTGATAAATGAGTAGAGCCTAGTTTACAGATCAGCTCTTCTGACCCCAAGTTCAAAAATTCCTTCTCTAAGCAAGTCAAATCTCTGAAAAGCACTATTATTCCTACCAGCAAATTCTGCTTTAAGAGAAATCCACCTGCAATGCAAATAATTATCCCTAAATTATTCAGATTTCATAAACCTTTTTTGTTCATTAAAAGAGTATCCTATACAGCAAATCTCAGATGGATAGCTTTCAGAGTTACAATGGAAGAAACACCTAGCACAAACTTGTCCTTCCACTGAGAAAACTGACTCAGGAAGGTGGAGAGGCATGCAGATTGCAACCAGAAAAGTAGTGACCGAGCTGGATATAGACCATACACTGTAAGAGTTCCAGGACAGCACCCTTCACATTTGTGTAAACTACCAAAAAGCATTCCACAAAACCAAAAAACTTTACTATATGCTTAAGAAAGCTCAGCATTTATATTGGAGGTTTTCCTGATGACCATCTACTAGGCTTGTCTACATTCTTCAGGATCTGTCTTGAAATGGTCAGAGACTTAGGTTCCTATCTACCAATGTTTTACTGTCTGCTTTTCACCTTACTTTGTGAATGAACATGTGTCCAAGGCTCATTAGAAACCGGTACAAATCATTAAACAGGTCCAATTGCATAAGTTAAGATACATCCATATTCTATCCCCTGATATCAGGGCCTCTGGGTACCATCTGATCTCTTTACAGCTCCTGTCCTGAGGAGGAAAGGATGGCAGCATGCACAATGGGGATTTGGGTTTCAGCTGGGTGGGTATCACATATTAATTATCTTCTTCCTAACCAACTTTACCTAATTGCTGATTAACCTTGCATATGCTTGAAGAAATATTTTAGACAATAAAATTGGTTGGCTTATTAATACTATTAAAGTATCAATAGAAAGATAATATGTATATAAGTAGCTTAAGAATTATTTTAGCAATCACAATACCCTTTCTCAGGCTAATTTCAACCTTTCGGCTTCAAATTTTACCTTATATGCCAACGACTCCCAATTCTGTATAGTCAGCTCTCATCTTAGTTCCAAACCCAAGGCCTGTATATTCCCACTTGATCTTTTTAAAGAACCCATCACCTTGCCTCCCTAACTGGTTCTTTTTTTATTTTTTAAGATGGAGTCTCACTCTGTCACCCAGGCTGTAGTGCAGTGGTGCAATCTCGGCTCACTGCAACCTCCGCCTCCCAGGTTCAAGTGATTCTCCTGCCTCAGCCTCTAGTAGCTGAGATCACAGCCATGTGCCACCATGCCTGGCTAATTTTTGTATTTTTAGTAGAGACGGGGTTTCACCATGTTGGCCAGGCTGGTCTTGAACTCCTGAACTCAGGTCATCCACCTGCCTCGGCCTCTCAAAGTGTTGGTATTACAGGCGTGAGCCACTGCTCCCGGCTCTTAACTGGTTCTTATATACCCTGCTGGAAGTACCTTGGAGATCAGCCCCACACCTTCTTCCAGATAGCACATATAGAACTGGCCCTTGATTCTTCCCTTCCATCACCTTCCACTTGCAAGCAGTCACCAAGCCCTTCTGCACTTGTCTCCTACATCTTGGCAAAGTCACTTCTTATTCACAGTGCCCTATTCTTAGTTCAGGTAGGTTACCTCTTCTGGATCACTGCAGTATCCTCCTCCAACTTCTCCTGATTTAAACTCACCTTCCTTCACTCCATCAGTCACACCTCTGTCAGAAATGGGCTTTCTAAATGCAAGTTTGGTGAGACCACTGCCCTGAGGATTCTTCCAGAACCACAGCTTGGCATGCAAGGCTCCTGCCTACCTCTGCAGCTTCACACATCACCATTTTTTCATACCTACCCTTTGCTCATCACTAACCCACACCACTCGCAGCCTCACACTCTACGTGCTTATAAGCCTTTGAACATGCCATTTTCTCTCCTACAATGGTCCTCACTTGTACTTCCCTGGCAGACCCACATATACCTTTCAGGATTTACCAAGCTCGTGACTTTTACTTGACCTGCATCAGAAACAAGAGTGTTATCTTTCATCCACCACCAATTTTTTCCCTAATAAATCTTCTTGTTGTTTTGTTCTGTTGTTAAAAAGTGTGAACTCTAGTCGAGGTTCTGCTTTTCTAAAAACTGTCATAAAACTAACAAGGTCAGTGACGTGTACAGGAAGTAGGTCTGTGTTGGTCTCCATATGGTCCAGATCCTCTATATCTAAAACCACCTCAGAATAGGCTCAGAAGAGTCAACTCAGCCTGGTTTCCTTCTCGTTTAATTTAAAGGTTCTGAAAATAAATGTACCTTCCCTATAAAGCTATTACTCTAACCATTTCCAACATAGCCTTAAGAACTAATCAGAGGATCTTTGTTAAGCCTTTACCCCATACTATTTTTAGCTGAAAAAAATACCATCAACTCAAATTAGAACTGATCATAAAAGTCTTCGCAGCCCTCTTGCCAGTTGAACTAAGCTTAACAACATTCCTGACTAAAATGAAAATTAAAACCTGAGAGTAAAATGGACCAGCCTCATCAATGCAAGATGTCAATACAACCTGAAGTAATGGCATACTTGCTACCATTAGCAGGAATACTCGTTTACTATCTGACTTGATTAAGAGGCTTCTGGTCACTTACTAAATGAATTAAATCAATATATGATAGTGAACAAAAACAAAATACAAAATGTAAAGCCCTCTAGAAAGACTAATCGGAAGGATAACACTTCATAGCAGGTCACAACTTAGAGTTTAAGATTTGAAAGGTGGGGAGGAGGAAACAAATACTAAGATTTCTCCAGCAAATCTCAGAAATAAAGATACAGATGGAAAATAGGCAACTTTCCAACTCCTTTTCCTAGTTCAGGATGACATCTGGGATCCTTGGTGATCTGGCCTCTGTCTACTGATGGCAATAGTAATAGAGTTGTAATTAGATACCCAGCCTCCCTTGCAGCTATGACTACAGGCCACATGACTATATTCTCACCAATGCAAGGGGAGAGAAGTGATGAGCAGCACTTCCAGGTTGGGCCTTAATGTACTGGGTATGGGCTCCCTCATAGCTCTTCCTTCCCTCAAGCTGTGTCAAAGTAACTATGGTTCAGCTTTCTCCATGCAGACAAGAAAAATGCTGATGTTAGAGCAATAGAAGAGAAGGGCTCTGGAAACTGAAGGAACCTGTGGAACAGAGCCACCTTCAACTGGGCCACTCACCTGAGGCTGATAAATGAAAGAGAAACTCCAAACTTCCTGTGGCTACTGTATTTTATAGTCACTTTGCTACAACCTGTTAGCTTCCTAACTAATACACACATATCCAACTCCTTTTGAGATTCCCAAGGCGCATGTACCCTTCTTCTGAGTTCCCAGAGCCCACTGTTCTCATCTCGATCACAACACTCATCACAGGTCATTTCAATGGGTTTACTCTTCTGCCCTCCCCGCCAAAAAAAAAAAAAACAAACTAACTCACTCTTAGAATTCTGAAGGCAGAAATTCATCATATCCTATGTCTTGCACAAAGCCTGGCACAAGTTTGTGGCTTAATAAATCCTAAGTGAATAAATCAAGTTGGAAACTACACAGACTTCCCTAAATTGTCTGAAAATAAATAAGAATTGTTGCTATACACATCCATCAGCTCACACTCCACACTAATCATGCAATGTTAACCATTAGAAAAAAAAATGTTCAGGTTTTTCAAGAGGCATGGCCTTTGTGTCTAATAGAAGTATGAGCAAAATACAATGGTTGCCCTCATCTAAAAACCGTGGTTCAAATGTATCACAGTAATGAAGACTGAGAACTAACTACAACTGAGTGGAGGAAAAGAAATGACAAAAATGACATTCAATAAATTACCCCCAATCAGCAACAGTTGTTATTTAATGTTGATCATTTTGGTTATGAAAATTAATATGACTATTCATGGCAATGGGTTATAGTTAACGTTGGCCTCCTCCACAATAAATCATCTTTTCAGTTTTTAACATCATTGACAAAAAAGTAATAGCTTTACCTCTATCTGACCTCTGGCATGAATGCAAGTGATACTAACATTGGTTTGATCCAAGTACTACACTGGATTTCACTCTATGAACAAATATTACATAAGAGTCAAATGTAAGAAATATATCATGTTTGCAGATGTGTGAAAGAAAGGAAATTGTACTTGAGGCAATGTAACTACTATGAAGTAGAGTACTGGATGATATTCCTTTGGATATGCAAATATTTTCATCTGAAGATTTTGTGTCTTACAGACAAATATTTGGGAAGTTGTTTTTTTTTTTTAACTTCCATCAGTCTATTGTGGACTAACAATACATTTTTAAATCTGAACTGCTCTGATTATTAACTGGAATTGGGCCTTTAAAATTAGTTCATATTTAACAATCCTGTGCTGTGTAAGTCTTTGTTCCCACCTCAAACTGCAGTAAGAGTTAACAGCCTTTGTCATGTTCTTTCTGTCTTAGGAAGAAAGGTAAACAGGTAGAACCACAAGTAGTCTTGACACATGTATTCTATTCATTATAACAATTAAATTTACAGAGTTAGGCAAATGCTCTGGAGAATCTGCTTCCTCAAGTTTCATTTGGGTTGAAGCCAAAACATTTCAGCTTTGGTACTCAGGAGTATTATTTAGAAGATAAATTGCCTGATATCAGATTTTGGAAAAGGTAGAATTACCATCAAGTCTTGTTACACAACAATTCATTGGAGGGAACATACCTTGTATTATTCAGTTTTGCTTATCATAAAAAAGGATTACTACTAAGGAGAATTTAATTGGAATAAAGTATCACTGAATTATCGTTTAGTATAGCATTTCAATAATAAATAGACCACCTCCTTCTCCTAAAAAACAATGTTTTATTTTGAGGTTTGACTGTACCACTGGTATGTAATATGTATTTAGAAATGTGTTCTTATCATAAATCTTTTAACATTAAAGTAGACTGTACCAACAAATAGGAGAGCTTCAGTATTGATCTTCTACTTCTTTTGAATGACAAAAATGGTTTTAACTTTCAGTGTGGCAATTTCTCAAAAATAAATTTGAGTGGAGGAGATTACATTCAACTAAAACTACATTATGAAGCAGCAGCAGCAAGATAATATAAAGTACTTTTCCTGGGTATATTTGAGATCTGTACATATTTTCAGTTTCTTTCAAGGTCTTGATTCAACAAGATTTATTAGCACTGTCTTCTTTAAAGGAAAAAAATGGCTCTCTATAAAAGTTTGTATTTTTCTGTCTCTAGAACCCACATTTCTGTACTTAACTGTCTCTAAATAAACACTGTGAATAAAAGGCTTTTCTTAACTTGGTTAAGCTGAATTACCGTTGAATTGTAGCCAAGATTTACTCTTTTCATGGAAAAACTTTTAACAGAAATAGCAGGCTTTCAAATTGGAACTTTAAAATTGAAATGCTAAAGTGTGATCAAGGATAATATTAATGCTGAGGCCAGGTTCACAATGGTTGTGTGAAGTGGCCTGTTGAAGAATTAAGACAATAATGGACATAATTAAATAGAATGGGGTAGAGAGCAAGAAATGTGCCTCAATTGCATTGATATTTTGGCAAAGGTTTTATTTTGGCAGAGCTTTCTACATCAATTTGAATAGATAGTTCTATCTTAATAAAATTTCACAAAATGACATGAAAATTCCTTATATACCTGGTGGGTGGGCAAGTCCTTGTTGAACATATTCGTCTTTCCCATTATGAAACATATCTATACATCCACAGGTGCTTCTAAATAGAGGATTCAACACCCAGGAAACAAACATCCATTTCACCACCACTCTCTTTTCCTTTCCATATGTGATTTCTAATAACTTAGGAAACCATCTAGTTGGAATATCCCCAGAGGTGCACTGAGGAAGCCTTAGTAAAACAGGAATTGTGCTGCATGGAGGAATAATGGGAAGTCAAAATTTTTCCAGGACTCAGTGCCCACAGTTTTACCTGTAAAGGATGTGGACATATATAATTGTTCATGTTCTATCTGGTACTGAAACCGGCCCAATTGCCCCATAGAACTGATATTTATGGTTTCTTTTTAATAAACATAGAAGTTAACCCTCCCAGTCTTAAAACTTGAGAAAGTTATATTTGTCTTATCTGAGTTCCTTTCTCAGGAAACCAACTCTCATGCTTCCCAAGATGGTATCAAGGAACTGAAACTCACCAGATCACCACATCTGGACAGTGAGACACCAGACTCCTCACCCGTCATGACTGCCTAACTAACCACCTGCTCCCTGTTGACCAACTCCTCTTCCTTACCCATCCCTAATTCCTGTTTTCCAAAACATGGTTACATTTCCTCCCTGCTATATAAACCTGTAAGTTTAGTGTGTTGAGGAGACAGATTTGAGGCTGATCTCTCATCTCCTCAGCTGCAGCACCCAATTAAAGCCTTCTTCCCTGGCAATACTTGTCTCAGTGATTGGTTTCCTATGTGGCAAGCAAGCAAAGGGACCTAGACCAAACCCCTAGTGTTTCGGTAACAGTATTTCCTTCTTTTTGGCTAATATATGGTCACAGGTACCTCACCATTTTTAATTTACACTTTGAGAAACACTTTTTATGTGTACCCACAAGAAGAAAATGGTATGTAATTGGAAAAAGAATATGACAGGTTGTTGAGAACTTTCAATTTGCTAATTCAAATTATATCTGTTGAAGAAATTGTCATCATCGCAAAATTTCTTGGTCTTAGTAAACTCTTGGTCATGCTTTGACTGTGTGTTATTACCTTCATAAATATCTCTTTTCATTTCCTACTGGTACAGGGAAGTAAATATGTTCATGTACTTATAAACATTTCATAACTAACTGACCTGAAGCTGTCCTGAGATAGCACCTTATTTTCATTAGATATACAGGACAGTGAACAAATCACTAGAGGCCATTAATATGTATTAAATTTTAAATATATTACTTGATTTCAACAATTTGAAATGGAGTCTATTATAGCTAATTCCTGCCTTTAAGTTCCAATACTAATAATGATCCTCACCTCCTACTTCCACACCAATAAGCTCTGGACCAGCAGTCAGTAGACTCAGTTTTAGTTTTAGTTCTGCCACGTAGTACAGTGCAGCCTTGACAAACTCACTTAACTACTCTGTGTTGTGGTTTCCTGTTCAAGAAATTGGGAACAGTAACAAGCCATCTGTCTGACAGGGTCATTGAGAAGTTCGGGTGCTTGGGGGAAAAACATCACTGTGAAATGCAAGTTCTATGCAAATGTGAAGGGTTATTATTAGTGTTTTAATTACCTAAGTCTGCAAAGGGAAAAAGATGTTAAATGTCATTCACTAACCACATTTTGCATGTAAGAAAAGCAAAGTGACAGGTTAGAAGACTTAGGTATAAAGCCACATACCTGTTAGAGGTGGGTGGGTTAAGAACACAACCTTGGGGCTTTAACATTGCTTCCCTCCATGATTCCACTCAACTCATGAAATGAAGTAATAAACAAAGTCATATGTGTATTAGTGCCTCCTGGTATGTAGATCTGTGGGGGGCGGGTATTAAAGTATCATTGCTGATGCAATTGCCATTCTGTAGACTATTTTGTGGTTATGCAAAGTCCATTTTCAATAGTGCTAACCAAATGCATGTAAGAATGACTCATTTTATACACAATTATTATATAAAGTACCCCAATATCTGTGGTGATCCTCATTTCATATCAAGATGTTTTTGGAAAACTTCCACTCCTACCCAGCACTTCAGTTCTCTTTTTGATTTCTAGTCTGGCAAAAACAAGTAAAGCAAGTCAGCTAAGTATACAGTTGTTTTCTTAGTATACTTAAAAATGCCTATTATTTCCTTGAAATAATAAATTCCTCCATTCAATAGCCTCTTGAAAACAGCTAAAATGACATCCTAAGATACTTCTGTTTCCCCCGATTCAGTTACAGAGTGATCAAAAGGGGAATACCCCTGCAGGTTACTGCCACTTCTAGTCAGTCACAATCCTAACAGCCTAACCCTGGAATCCCATTAATAAAATTCACTGGAGTAAAAAAAAAGAAAAAAAGAAAATATTTGTCAAACAGCCTTTTCTTGAGGGAGGCCTTGTAATCTGGTATTCAAAAATATTTCCATAAGGAAAAAGTAGAGCCTTACATGGAAAAAAATAATTAAATAGATCACCAAACAGAATTCTATCAAGGAAATGACTGAAACATACAAATATACCTTGTGTCTCTTTCCCCTTCTCTATCAATCTAAAGTTAGCCAGATTAATTTAAAGGCCTGATTCCCAGACCCCAGGCCCCTGTGTGCAGTCTGCACATGTACCATGCCTGCTATTGAAAGTGTTTAATAATAGAGGAGCTTGCACTTTCATGTAATTCATAATTAGAAGACGACTACAACTGCATTATTTAAAATCAAGCCTTTGTTATCAGCACCAGTTTTAGACAGAAGCTGAGAATCATTTGTGAGCTGTGGCAGACCCAGACTGTTCAAAGCAATTGCTGTTCAGCATGAAAGTTGCAATGGAGGTCACGAAACAGGTCAGGAGGAAAGATAGTGTATCGATTTCACACCAGGAATAGAGGCAAAGCGAGGGCCCACTGTTGCTGCATGTGATGTATTTCACTTCAGTTTAAGGCACATTTCATTCCAGTCCAAGAGGGGGTGGGGAGCAAAGGGCAGTGGATTTCACACTGAATCATGATGAATTCTGGACTTGTGGATTCCAGTAAATATCTCCTTTCCTGGCATTAAGTATTTCTGTAGCAGAGTGAATATAATGGAAATTAGGCCTCTATTGGTAGCAAGAATGTATCTTTAAAAAAATGTAACTATGTTGTAGGAAGTTCTTTTCCTCCACTTATTAAAATGCAATAAAAGCAGTCATGAATGTAAAAGCATAAAATGTATGCAAGTGACAAACTGCAGAATAACCTCAGAATGAGCATCATTTACAAAGCCAGAATGATGCTATAGATCACTCAATGAAAGAAGTTAAGTAACAGAAATAAACCTCTCAAAAAAGAATTCTTGGTCGTGGCTTCATGGGTAAATCTTTGATGTCACACATGGGATACTGATGACATCCAAATATGTCATTTTGTCTTCCCACACTGCACATAGTCTTTTCTTCCTCATCTCTGAAAAGCCACTCATACTCAATAGGATCAGAGAATCATTTCATACCAAACTTCATCCTGGTTCAAGCTGTCCTAAGATAACTGATGAACTCTAATGTTTGTTCCCAATAAATGCCATTAATTTACAACAATGACCTTGTATACTGCCTTGACTATGCCTTTTAGCATTTTTCTACCTTCAAAACTTAGATCAGTTGGGTGGGCTTAGGAATATAAAATATCTGATTGGATGTTTATATAATCTAAACAACTGGCAAACACAGCAGCCTTGTTCTCTGTCCTCCCATTTTCCAGTGTGCGTACCCAACATATACTACAGCTAACCCCAAATGCTATCCAACTATCATGGAAAACAATTTGCTTTTTAATAATAATGACATCCCTTTAAAAAGCTAATTTCACTACACATTATATCATTTTATATATATATATGTGTATATATGTGTGTATATATAGATGTAGATGTATAAATAGACAGATACTTTAACATTATTTCTGAAACACTGGTTTTTCCTGACTTTTTAGAAATATTTGTTTTTTTGTTTGTTTGTTTTTCAGAAAACCAAGATTATATTAGAAATAGCACAGGAACATTCTCTTAAAATTATTTCTCCACCTAATCATTATTTGTATTAACCTGATCCTAGGCATCCAGGTAGACCTTTTCATTCCCCTTCTTCCTGTATACCTCTCCTTTGCTATTTTGTAAGTAAGGATCAGTTAGCTATCTGCCATGGAAATAAAGAGATGGAAATTAAAGCATACATCTTGATAGATTTTTAAAAATCATTTCATTTATTCCCAAGCCTTCATCCCTAGGGGGAAAAATGGAGAGGGAATTAGCACATTTTCTTTTTATCCTACAAAGGAAAACTTAAAAAGCTCAGATAGGGAAAAATGTTCAAACAGAAAAGAGGAAATAGATCTTTCCTCCACAACTGAAGCTGACAAATAAGAATCTACACACAGGCAGGGGGAAGTTAGATGGAAATCAAGTGACATGGTGCTTCTATAGACCCGATGCCTCTGATTTTGAATCCAAAGTATCAAAGAAAAGTCTAAGCATCCACAGAAATCTATAAGGGTAATCAATCCAATCAGTTATTGGGAAGAACATCAATTTAATAGAGTAAAACAACTGAGATGAGTCACATAGAAATGTCCTCTTAAATTATTTACAAAATTTGGCTGATATTTCACCAATTCTTTCAAATGATCTAAAGCATCAATCCAATTTCCCTTGGCTTTTCATGAAAACATTTGTTATTGGAAATGTATTTATTTGAGAATCTTTTTTCTTCTTTTTCGAGACAGGGTCTGCCTCCGTTGCCCAGACTAGAGTGCAGTGGCAAGATCACAGCTCACTGCAGCCTCAACCTCCTGGGCTCAAGCAATCTTCCTACCTCAGCCTCTTTAGCAGCTGAGACCACAGGTGTGCAACACCACACCAACCTAATTTTTTCTTTTTTTCTTTTTTCTTTTTTTTTTTTTGCTGAGATGGGGTCTCACTATGTTGTCCAGGCTGGTCTCAAACTCATGGGCTCAAACTATCCTCCTGCCCTTGCCTCCCAAATTGCTGAGATGACAGACATGAGCCACCATGCTCAGCCAAGAATCTTTAATATATACAGTAGGATTCATTTCTCCAACAAATATGTTGGCTAGTATAATAATTTCGAGAAGTTTGGCAAAGTCCCAACCACCTATCTTAATACACAATATGAATGCAGAAAGGATTAATGATGCTCTAATATGGATTAGAACTCACAAATATATTAACATTTTTTAAAACCTAATTAAAGTAGCTAGTTCTTATATTCATTCCTGAGATATTAATTCTTGGCTTTTGTTTTTATATTTCCCCTACTCTACACAAGCGACAGTATGAGCTTTCAATCAAGAGTGATGGTATCTAAACACATTCTATGCAAAATCACAGTGGTTCAATTTCCAAACAAAAATCTACAAAACTAATAAGAGGATGATAAGTCAGAATTCTAGCTTTCAACTGCATCCACAGTTCATAAGATGGCTGTAGCTTTTCTGCAACAATAATTATGATACCTTAAGTAAGATACCTAGATCTGTGTGCAGGTAGCCCCTTGATGGGATGGGTCTGAAACAGAACAAGTCAGTAGTATATGCCAATGTAATTTGTTCAACTCAGGTACCTGAAAACATCATTTTTTTCAGCATCCTTCAAAAAGTCTTTTATAGTTTATCAGTAAAGGTCTGATTTTTTTTTAACTGTTTTTAACCTAGAAGTAGACGAAGTCATTTCCTTCCATACTATATGACGACTAATTTTAGATATAAACTTACTAGACAGAGAGCTGTATTTCACAAAACTAATCTTCAAATTACCTTTAAGAAAATCTCTGTTTCAGGTATTACTTCCCACAATAATAAATGCTATACTGTGCTTTATTCTGGCCTTGGAAAAATTATGGAGTCCAGGAATTTTGCTTTCTGTACTGCCTTCTTCAGCTTTTTTCTTTCTACTATCTTTAGGTGTCCATTTCCCTCTTTTTGGTCCAAGGCCTTTACAGTAGCAACCCTACAGGGCTCCAAACAGTGCTATCATTCCTTGTTCCTTATTGGTGGGCCTCCTCTATCACCTTAATCACTGTTCTCTGCAAGCACCTTGTTCTTATCAAGCTGCCAGCAGTTATTATATACTTTAATAATACAACTCTCCCTCTTCTGGAAACTAGCCCAGAACTCACAGCCCCTTGGGCTTCCTACCCTACTGAGGCAACTGCTAGAAACAAGGATTACAGTACCCACCAGCCCCCACCCCTAACCCAGAATTCTGACCCTTCTGCTTTCCAGAGCTCTTTGCCTTAGAAGGAGACTTGGAATAAGATGAAGAATATGGCTGTGGCATAACACAAGGATCTTTCAGCTCAAACATCAGGGAAGTCCCACCAAAAGGCTGTAGGTTGTACCTAGATTGTAAAGGATGTGGCTTCTAGGGCAGTTTCAAAATAAGTTACGAAAGCACAAGATGCTTTTGTTTTTGTCATCCTATTTCTGTTCTCTGAGACCAAAGAAACTGGCCTCCCATGTGACAATTCTATGAAAGCCACACATCCACTAGGAAATGACCAAAGAGCACCGGCAACTTCCATATTGTAAAGGCGTCCCCCGTACCCAAAGCCCAGAGTGTAAAGATGCTGCTAAGGAGGGCAAAACACAAATGGTACAAAGAGAAGAACTCATGTCAATGGAAAGTCTGTTTATCCTTAAAGCCACATTTGTAGACTAGACAGTTCCAAAATATCCCTTGGCAATCCCTTTTGCAAAGTAATTGGAAAATGCTGTGCCAAGTGATAAAAAGCATTTCAAGTTTCTGCCTAATGTCTGTTATAGTTTTCAAAGCCCTGAATTGCAAAACAAGATTAAAACTAGTTCTGAAATAAACAACAAGTATTTACTGAAGAACAACTATGAGGCACTCTGCTGGAACTTTGGGGATTTGAAGATGTGTAAGACTGAGCTTACAATTTAGTTGGGGAGATCAGACGTGTGCACAGCCAAGGTTAAGCTCTAATACAGCATGAAAATATCTGAAATGTCAAAAAACACCAGCAACTGTTTCCATCTCAGGGAGTGAGGCTACTATCCTCCAAAGGCAAGTCCTAGCCCCATCAAAATAAAAAAAAATCTGCTTCTAGGTAATAATAACACACATAAAAACAAATCAAAGAGATCACTGTCAATTTAGAAAATGTCCTCTAAAAGGCCCTTGATTTTTGCTTGCCCATTTAGTGAATATTATGTATGCATTAAAGAGATCATTTGCTAAGCTTAATTTATATGCAAAATTCACTAAATACATTCAGAAAATAAGACTAACTTTTTAAATGATGCCCTTTCATTAGATGTCTGCAAAATATCAAAATAACTGATCAGTCATTAAGTGAAAGAAATGTATCAGATGTATGTGATTGGCATTGGTTACACATATCAAGCAATGTGATATTTTTTCTATGAAATTGACTTCTTATAAACTGACAGATGATCTTAAAAGAAAATAATAAGTTGTCTTAACACAACTTTTCCAAAGAACCAGAATTGCTATGTTCAAAGACAAGGAGTAAAGTGTCCCAAGGTGGGCTATCATTGGTCCTATGGCCTCCTTGGTTGAGTCATTATCCTCTCCTTGCCCCAGTTTTCTCATTTATGAAATGAGATCACTGCGTTAGGTGCTCTCTGAGAGTACTATAATCTGTAACTGTTCCAGGAAAGGACTATCTGGGGTTACTAAGTTGAATACAATTATTTTAGGGTTGACAAACACTTTCCTTCAAAATATCCATACCAAGCCCAATAGTGCATTTTACTTTACTAAAATATATTCTATTTTCTATTATGTAGACTATATAAATGTAAATACACTTTCATTTTAAATACCTAAAGCAACAGCTATATATTAATAAATATGTATTAATATATGGTATATATTAACTCTATTAATATATAGTTTTACATATTAAAATTCTAACTTTGAAGAATATTTCCTTATATAACTCAGATCATCTTTCTTCTTATGTTTTAGCTGAGTGTACCAAGTTGGTTTATTTATACCAACAAGTATAAATAATATTTATCACATTGTAATAGAATGAGCATGAAGACTCAAGGTTTCATTTATAATGTTACATAATCTTTTTGGAAATATTTTAAGACAAAATGTTTTTATAAATTTAAACTATTAATCCTACTTTAGAAACATATTGTAATTTAGCTTCTGATTTCATGTAATAATACATAATATTTTCAAATCTAAATTCTGTAGTATATCTTTAAAGTGAAAAAAAGCAAATAAGAAATAACCATTAACCCCATATAAAAATAACACTTTATTCAAATTAGAAGAAAAATCTCCATTAAGTAAACATAAAAATGCAGTGATTAAAAGCCATTACATTTATTTATCCTCAGAATTACTGATTATCTGATTTAAATTTGTCATCACTTCAATTTATAATAAATTGTTTTTGATATTGTGTTTTCAAATAACACCTCTAAACATTATTAAATAAATGTAGTTGTGTATTATGCATAAGCTTCAAAGGCTAAAGGCCAGTGGATAATTGTGCCTATAATAACAATCTTGTTCTTAATTTAACAATTTACTGCATGTTCTTAACACACTAAAGGAATGTCAATATACCAACAATAGGAGTAGACATAAGCAGAGCTTGACACTTGGCCAATGTTAGAAAGTGATGAGAGGTAACTGATATAGCTGTGGAATGCAAATATGGAAGGTATCATTATTATGTGATGTATGACAGCTCTTAGAGAGAGTGGTCATCAGTTAAGCAAATGAACCATTGGGCAGAGAATATATGTGACACTGGGGGCATGATCTACTGATTTTCTAATAGGTGATAGACATTAACTGGTTCACAGATTTAATGAAGACAAAGACAATATGTAGTATATACACATGTACAAACAGGCATATAAATATATATATATATTTGAGTTAGGGTCTCACTCTGTTGCCCAGGCTGGAGTGCAGTGGCGCAATCCCGGCTCACTGCAACATCCACCTCCCAGGTTCAAGCAATTCTCATGCCTCAGCATCCTGAGTAGCTGGGATTACAGGCACCCACCACCACCCCTGGCTAATTTTTGTATTTTTAGTAGAGACAAGGTTTCACCATGTTGGCCAGGCTGTTCTCGAACTCCTGACGTCAAGTGATCCACCTGCCTCGGCCTTCCAAAGTTCTGGGATAACAGATGTGAGTCACCCACACCTGGCCCAAATAGGCCTATATATTTAAGTGAAATTATGATATTAATATATTACAATTAAAAATTTAATTTTGTTTCTACTTTTCAAAATGTTTTGAAATCTACATTTCTTTGTCAACATAAAGAGATTGGGCCAAATCACCTCTTAGAGTTATTATTTGATTTGACAGTCTGCCTTGGATATCTAGAGACTATAGGCAAGCTGAAACTGTTTGGGGACCAAGAATGAAACAAATTGTAATTTCCAGTCTGAACCAAAGTTTGAATGTGGTGCCAGTAAAAATTCTGACTCAGAAAACCCCTATATATAATACAAGCTCACAAGATCAAATTGGGACTTCGCATTTATCGTTGTTTAAGATCTCCCAGAAGCAGTCCATGAGCTCAAGATTTAAGTACAAATAATTTGTTTGGAAATAACAGAAGCACTGGAAGGGTGTGGAGAAGTGTCACAGGGAAGACAAGGCAGCCTGTAAGAATATGCAGTCAGTGCTACCACTGTGGACCACTGGAGCTCAATCCTGCCAAGGAACTCTGGGAGTCCGTGTAAACCGCATATAAGGATTAGCGCATCCATAGAGTGGAGAAACTGGTGTACTTACATACCATCTCTGTCAGTCCATGCAGACTGTGTTAATTCCCTGGCCAGGACTTCAGCAGTCAGAGAAAGCCTTGGAGCAAGAATGCTAGCAGTTAGAAGTCAAGTTATGGTCACTAATCACATGTGCTGTGGTGTTCTAATGCACTCAAAAGCTCCATAAAGAAATAACCCTTAGGCATGCTGGCATCCTCCTGGAAGCCTTCATTTCCTTTTGCCTTGAATGTTGTAACTACCTTCTAATTGGTCTTCTCATGTACCTACTCTCTCCATTTCTATCTCTCCTATGCACCACTGATAAATTAATCTTTCTAAAACCCAGTTCCAATCTGTCATTGCCTTGCTCAGAACCTTCCCATGATTTCCCTTTTGTCTGCAGAACTAAGTCAAATGTTCAGTCTGGCAATCTTCAGCCGCATCATGTACAATCCTCCTACATTTATCTTGCATTCTGGTCACCATGAGCAGTCACTATTCACCTAAACAAATTTTTGTCCTTATTCTCAACTTCCTGTTCAGTTGACAGAATCTAGACTTTATCATAGTCTCCTTCAAAGGGTGCCGACAGTCATCTAAGATGAGTCTTCACATGGGCTTTCCTTCCATACTGTCACAGCATCTGATTTCCCTTTCTATGCTGGCATTTATTTGGCTTAGAATTGTGTCTACTTATATGCAGCAAATTATATGTCTATTACATTCCGCTCTGTGAGATCAAAATCTTTGTTTTAATCACTTTGTATCATTTACCCTACCTAGAACAATCTGGAGCATGCAATAGATGTTCACAAAACACATGGCAAGGGCCAAGTACAGTGGCTCATACCTGTAATCCCAGCATTTTGGGAAGCCAAGGCAGGGGGATTAACTTTGGGAACTTCGGGAACCCAAGAGTTTGAGACCAGCTTGGGCAACACTGTGAGGCCCCATCTCTACAAAAAATAAAAAATTAGCCAGGTGTGGTGCACACGTGTGGTCCCAGCTATTCAGTAGGCTGAAGTGGAATGATCACTTGGGCCTGGGAGGTGGAAGCTACCGTGAACCATGATCACACCACTGCACTCCAGCCTGGGTAATATAGTGAAACCCTGTCTCTAAAAAAACAAACAAACAGAAAAGCACATAGTGAGTTAACAACTACAAATGTAGGAAGGTGCCATGCGTCATAAAAAGAGAACTGAACTTGGAGTCTGGACATCTAAGCTGTAGCCATAACTAGGCATATGACATTGGCATCCACTTAACCGTTCAGTTCCCTCATCATAAAACTGGATAATAAACTTCCTTTTGCTATACATTTCATATAACTAACTCGAGAATCAAATAAATTAATATCCATGAAGTTGTTTCAAGATGTTTAGTGACAGAACATGAGAAGTTACTGGTATTATCATAGCAAGGTACTGTCCTTCAGGTAATAATGGAAATAACACCAGTCTGCTGCTGAAATGCTGTGAGTAATTTTATCAGTAATTGTCCTGATTGTGCTTTCCTCAATTTTGGCTCTCCTTAAAATCAATGCCTGCATGTATAAGTTGACTATCTGGAGAGAGGGCTCAGCATTTGAGTTCAGTTCAGAACGGGGTTAACTGGCCTCATACGGAGATTGAATAAAGAACCTTGACTTCATTAACACCAGGCTTCCACCAACACAGTCAAACAAGTGTGTGTGGGGGTGTGCATGTGTTTGCATGTATTAAACACAAAAAAATGTCTATTAAAACAAAGAAGAAATAAGGCTCTCCTGCTTGTCTCTAGTGCATACGTAGGTTATTTTCACAGAATGCACTTGTGTATATGTACAGA
The DNA here is from genome assembly GCF_000001405.40 of Homo sapiens. NCBI lineage: Eukaryota > Metazoa > Chordata > Mammalia > Primates > Hominidae > Homo > Homo sapiens. The sequence goes on along the minus strand of NC_000014.9, from coordinate 33,030,799 downwards.
CAAAATACATGCATGTCCTCGTCCTCCATTCTAAATGGCATACACCGACTTTACAGTATACTCATACACTGGCATTGACACACCTTTTACATATTACTAAAAGGCTGCCTTTCTACAGTGTATTAAGCAGCTGCTTGCATATGAGTATCTTGTTGTCCAGAGTGACAGCTGTATTTTCGCCTGTTTTGACATTGAGTCTGATCTGGGTGAATAGCTCATATCCATTAAAGTGCTATTACAACACTGAATGACTGCCAGAATACTTCCTGATCAATTTTAAAAGCCAGCTAGCTGTCATCATCTAATCGCAACAGCAAAAAACAAATCTTTGGGGAATAAAATGAGATTTTTAAACATTTTTAAAGCAGTGTATTAAATATAATCCCTAAAAACTATTTGAATAAGAATTCTAAGCTACAGAAATAGGAAGGTGGAAATAATATTTTCTGCACTTTGAAACCCTTACACTTGCATATTGGCAGGCAATCTCAAATACTCCTTAAATTTACCATTTCGGCAATCACTGAGTTTGAACTCCTGCCATTACATAACTTAATAAAGCAGGACTGAAAACAATCACCACCAAGCGCGATTGTGCTCACCATTAAATTTAGTTCTATAAAATTTAAGACTGAATTCAATCATCTTTCTGTCTTTGCTTCAATGGTTGAAATCCAAATGTTCAGGTTTACTTTTTACTTTCCTCAACAGCCAGACAATATGCATATTTTTAAAGCTACAATGCCAGCATTTTAGATTTGCATTTATTAAGCATTGCCAAAGGGAGGTACAACTCACTGAGACAGTTAAGACCACTTGAATCAACAGTTTAATTGGGGAAGTCTGATTCAAAGTTGTAATTCTGCCACTATTAAACCAACAATATCAACAAGTACACAATGTATAAATTGGCATAATCCATTTGGAGGGCAAATATTTTAAGGATGTAGTCTGTCAACATAATTAATCATCTGGGATGCTTTTTCTTAATGGGCAGCACTCAGTTCTTCTCATTTTGGTTTTGGCATTCAGTATTTTCACACCACTGTTATGCCAGTAATACTCCCTCACAATTTGGAATGGGCTGTCTTAATTGCAGAAATGAAAAGACCCAACTCCATTTGATCACCAGGTTTGGTGGTCCTCAGTTCCTTCCAGGACCATGTGCCACAGTGTTGGAGAGTCTGAGCAAAAGACTAGAAATGCTAACATTCCAACTCATATTTTATAGAGTGTGATAAATAATGAATAATACATCATATTTTTAAGCCCCTTCAGAATATAAGTCTCTTTAATAAAAGAGAACTATTAATGGAAATACTGGGCTGATTTTTGGAGATTCAAGAGCTCTCCTAAGAAACTGAAACCTATGCTACAAGTAGTCTTCTCCAGATTATTAGATGATCCCCTTCACTTTTGATCAAAGTCTCCCTTCATTTTTTACTTTAAAAGATTCTCTTCACTTTTTGATCCATTTTTAAATATTAAAATTGATATTATTCTAAGAAACTGACTCTATCCTCTTCCCCACTTAAACTGTCAATGCTCCCCACTGCATAGAGGAGAAAGCGTCCGTCACTTCACCTGGCATGCCAGTCTTTCCAGTGGTGCTGTGAAAAATGTATCCCTACCCGCCTCACTCCTATGTTCCCTTCTGTCTAGCTGCATCACACAGTCCCCTGTTCTTCCCCCACTCCAGGCCTTTCCTCTACTCTGCCTTTGCTCCTCTTACACCCTCTGACTAAACCACTTCTGATCACTTCCACCTAATCAAACTCCTAAGCTGTCTTCAAAATACCTCCCCCATCAGGGGCGGGGGGGAAGGAGAGCATCAGGAAAAATAGCTAATGCACACTGGGCTTAACACTTAGATGATGGATTGACAGGTGCAGCAAACTACCATGATACACTTTTACCTATGTAACAAACCTGCGCATCCTACACATATACTGGAACTTAAATGAAACAAAATCTAAAAAATATATACATATATGTATGTATGTATCTCCTCCATCACCTCAAAAAAAGTCTCCCTCATCATCTCCTCTGTAATGTTTTCTTCAATTTTCCCAGTAAGTGTATTTCTTCATTTCTTGGTGTTCCCACTGTACCTGTACACAACTACTCCAGGCCAGGTATACATGACTATTCTACCTACTGATATATCTGCCTATGCTAACTGCCATAGATACTAGGTTCAGATGGGAATTATATAAATATAAATTCCACAGAGTCCAAATATATCCCAAAATGACAAAATTGTCTAACAGTGAAACTCCAGCATGAAAAGAAAAATAGTAGCAGGAGAATAATGTCTATAGCACAAAGTTTTGTGTTTATTTTGTGGTGGCATTCACTCACTTGTTATTTTTTATCATTCCCACTATTGTTCAAGCTTTTCCCTTGTAAAGCAGAATTATCAAAACCCATCTATCAGTTTAAAAATAGGGAATAGCTGGGGTTTAGTCACAAAACACAACACAGAAATGACACAGTAAAATGTCAATGAATGACACTGAGGCAGAAATACAGAAAAGATCTCAATGTTTTTTCAAATCCACATGTTATTTTTAAAGGGAAAGCTATTGTTTATAAGCTATAAATGTATTTCACACGTGGAGGCAAAGACCAAGTGTTCCAAAGTCAGAGAGTAACTAAGATTCACTACAGAGACTAGAGTGTAACCTACATGATGGCCCAAGGCATGAGGCACTAAGTTTACCCCCAAAAAACTTCTTGAATTCATAAAAAAGTGACATTTTATGAGTAACTATGTGTTAAGTGAAAGTAGCCCAGGTTATATGAGTTTGAAAACTCACTACCATGTATTTGATTTTTTTTCTATTTTAAGTTTGACTGTACATTGGACATAGTATCATGTGATATACAAAAGAAGGCACAGGAAAAGTTTTATCTGAGAGCAGCTATTAGTGCCAATTCCCATTTCCATGATATCCAGCCTATTACTCTCAGTACAAGTTAGTTCAGCCTCCCCACATACTGTTAAAAATATGTATATTGCTTCTGGGAGATCTACTGCCCCTTGTAAATTCACTTATTAAAGGGTAGCATAGAAGGGAAAGGAATCTATAATACAGCTGTTTATAGCCAAGCACTAAATCATATGATACAGAAAACAAATGCAGATGGTTTGAAGGGTGGGGGCAATTATATTACCTCTCGTCAATGAGCATTCATAAAATAAAATGGGATCTCCAAGCTGCCAAAATTAAGTGGAAGCTGGGCTACAAGAAAATTCAAGACAGAGGGAAAGAAAGAGAGACAGAAATACCAACTTAACCTAATCTGAGTAAGTAGTTTAAGTAAATGAACCTTTAAAAAATGGAATTCCTTTCTAACAAACTCATTATACCAATATATATTGAGAGAGAGAATAAAAGCTTTAGAAAGAAAAGGCTGGAAAATCAGGCCTTTTCCAGCTTTTCCAACGATTCGTATTCCTCCTGACTCAGAGCCCAAGCACGTCTTTCTCTGAACTGCCTTGCTATTTTGCCAAAAGAGAAAACTTATTTTCCATCTATGTAAACTCCTAGAAGAGGAGGGAGCAGGAAGACTACTCAATTCAGCCCCAGAAAAATAGGGCCCTTGTGCCTAACTCCAAGTGTCTGGCAGTGGCCCAATTCCCTGCCAACGCTGGTGGTCCAGGCTAGAGGCTATGATCTGACCTAGGAATTAGAAGCGTTTTGGTAACCTCCCTTCACTGGGTCAACTGGAGAAAATGATACACTTACCAGGCAGGAAGGAAGGGCATGAAGCACATCACATCTAACACCACCCCTTTCCCTGAGCTGGCAGATCCTAGAGAGTCCCTGGAATTTAGCTACAGAGGATTAAGCCTTGCTAAACTCCATAATAAAATGAATAGCTTCAATGTAACAGGGGGAAAAAAGGGAAAGGGGTGTAGGGGGGAAGGATGAGGAACTCAAGCTCTGAATTCAAGAAACCAAATCTGTTGTTATTTACATGAAATGTTAATTAACAAAAGCAATAAAAAGGCATACAAAAGACTAACAATATATTTAAACTAGCTTTCTGATGAATGAGTATACTACAGCTAAGAGACAGATTGTACAGTAGGAGTGAATGAATTGGAAGGAAGAGTAAAAAGGACAGTAAATTCACTGTTAGGAAGAAGTAAAATCAGACAGGAAAGATTATAGATCTTGATTCCTCCTTAGCTCTCCATAAAATATGAGAAACCAGCAAGAAGAACACAGTGAACAGAGAGGAACAAAAAAAAAAAAAGGAAAATCACTTAGCACATTGTTGTTGCTGTGTAGACTCCGTTAACATGAGTGACTTCTTCCCAAACCATTCACATGAACCGAAGTTAACTGAATAGCTACTGGACCAGAAACTATGGCAAAGACTGCAGATACAAGGAGGAACCATACAGATTCCCTGCCCTAAGAAGGTTTACATTTAGTGAAGAACAGTTGATTAACATACAATTGCAAGTGAGCAAGATAAGAGGTACACAGAAAGGTCAAACCAAACTTGAGGTATCTGAGATGTCCCAGAAAGTGGCATCTAGGCTGGGACCTGACAGTTGAATTGGGGCCAGCCAGAAGACTAGCTATGGGAGGACACGCTATGTTTTTGCATGGAATAATGGTCATCTTATGTAAATAATGATTTGAATTTGACATATGCCTCTTATTGATTTACCTAAAATCAACCTGGAATTTTGTTCCTTTTGTAGTAGTAGACAAGAGAAGAGGCTGCTATTGGCGGTGAAGGCCTCAATGAAGAAGATGAAATTAAAACATCTTATTTTAAATAATCAAATTACAAATATCTCTTTTTCAATATTTTGACAATTCCCTATGGAACCTACTTGGCAACTGTATTAGTTCATTCTCACACTGCTATAAAAGCATATCTGAGACTGGGTAATTTATAAAGAAAAGGAGTTTAGTTGGCTCACAGTTCTGTGAACTATACAGACTTCTGCTTCTGGGGAGGCCTCAGGAAACTTACAATCATGGCAGAAAGCAAAGGGGAAGCAAGCACTTCTTCATATGGCTAGCAGGAGAGAGAAAGAATGAAGGGGGAAGTGCCACACACTCTTAAACCATCAGATCTCGTGAGAATTTACTCGGGATCGTGAGAACAGTAAGGGGGAAATCTACCCCCATGATCCAATCACCTCCCACCAGATCCCTCCCCCAACATTAAGAATTACAATTCAACATGAGATTTGGGTGGGGACACAGAGCCAAACCATATCAGAAACTTATTAAGATCTCCCTGATATTTCCTAGCCTGGCAGACTTGCTCTAACCAACCTCTCTTGTAGAGGATACCAGCAAGTTAACACCTGAACTATATCTATGATTGGGAGTAGGTCAGGTTAGGCAGAAAGAACTAATACTGATACCTACTGTGTGCTTCATGCTTGGTGTGTTATGTGTATTATATATTCAATTCTGGCAACAAGCCAGCAAGGCATATCCTGATATTCCCATTTTTAAGATTAAGACACAAGACTCAGAAACTTAGAGTGCCTTACCCAAGGTCTTACAACCAGTCAGTAGCAAAGCCAAGACCCAAACCTAGATTTGTCTGATCCAAAAGCTTGCTCAAAACCGTTTAAGCCAGCTGCCTTCTACTTTCTAAAATCTCAGTGATCACTGTACCTGTGCAGTAGCAGCCTCCTCTGTCCTCTCCCTCTTTTTTTATAAACTTCTTATTTTAAAATCTATGAAGACACATACGTTACTTTTATTAGAGGACTTGGAGGCTCATTTCAAGAGCACCCTAACAATTTAGATATGCACAAATATGTTAAGAATAGTTTAGAAAGCATAGCTATAGGATGTATTTTAATGGCAAAACTATACCTGATTTATAACTTAGATTTTAAAAACATTACATGGGTATTGTGGTCTACAATATTGAAAAGATCCATTTTCTGCATGTTTGGTGTTTTCTGATTACAAAAGTAATACGTGTTCATTATGAAGAGTTTGAAAACTACAGATACACATAAACAAAATAAAAATTATCCATAATCCCAACATTCAGAATTAGCCTATGTGAACATTTTCATTGGTGTATTTCTATAGTCTTAGGTGTGTGTATTGATATATATGTAATTTTCAACTAAGATACAAATTGTGAACAATGTTTTGTAAATAAATGTTTTCACTTAACATTATACGGTAAGCATTTCCCTCAACCCCACAGTACTCAAGAACATGATTTTCAATTAATCAAAGGTCTTCTTATTTTACAGACCCATGCTCCTCAATATGGTAGCCACTAGAGACATGGAGACATGTGATGATTTAAATATATTACTTGGGAGGCCAGGCGCGGTGGCTCACGCCTGTAATCCCAGCACTTTGGGAGGCCGAGGCAGGCGGATCATGAGGTCAGTAGTTCGAGACCAGCTTGGCCAGCATGGAAAAACCCCTTCTCTACTAAAAATACAAAAATTAGCCGGGTGTGGTGGTGGGCGCCTGTAATCCCAGCTACTCTGCAGGCTGAGGCAGGAGAATTGCTTGAACCCAGGAGGTGGAGGTTTCAGTGAGCCGAGATCATGCCACTGTACTCCAGCCTGGGTGACAGAGCAAGACTCCATCTTGGTGGGGGGAATATACATACACACACACACACACACACACACACACATATACACACACACACATATATATACACATATATATACACACACATATACATATATTACTTGAATGTGTATTGCTCTTGTTCTGTCCAAAAGACCTACCAAGTTACTCTTCTGCCAAAAACAAACTAAAGTGTCTGGTTTTCCTTCAATTTATCCATACTATGAACATCTAAGGGCCACATCAGTATCTTTTTTCATCTTTGCACCCCTACATTAGTGGTCGACATACAGTAAATGTTCAATAAGTATTTGCTGAGTTGATCTAAATGTATGCCTATGTGAGACCCACTGGATAATAAGGCCAGGCTACGGATGATGGATTTTTGCATGGTCTGTAAATACATGCACAATAAGCAAACAAATCTAGGCTCTCAATTGTAATACAATATTAAAAAACACAAAAGAATATTCAAGACAAAAGCTCTATCATTATTTTATACCAAGAGCAGGAAAAGATGTTTCCTAAAACCTCAAAACTACTAAAGGATTTTAATGTCTAATATGAAAAGGATGTATTCTGAATACTCTTCCCATCTATTTTACCAATGCTACATTCAGGTTATTATAAAACTACAGAATCAATCCACCTTTATAATGCATTTTTAGAATGTATTAGAATGACAATAATTGTTAACAGCCTACAGATCTATTTCCAGCAGCAGAAAGCATCAACACATGTATGAAAAAAGGTGATTCTGACTCAAAGTCAAATTAGGAAATAAGATACATAGAAGAAATATGGAGATTAGGTCACACCTTCCAATGAAAAAAAATATTCATTCCAAAAGTGATGTCATGGGTCAGCATTGAATCCAAGTGTAAGGTTAACATTTTGTCTCACTAGAAAAAAATGAATTTGACCTTGTAATATTTATATCACACAAAAAATACTGCAGACAGATTTCTTTCTGAAAGCCTTCAGATTGCTTCTTGTCAAACCGTTTGTGTCAGAGATGTGAAATGTGATCATAACTGGTAGCCATATTTGATGGTGACAGCCCAGAAGACATGACTGAGAAAGGTTTTAGTGTGGCCTCTTTTCTTTTTTTTTTAAATTTGTGTTTGCCACTATTTTTGTTATGTCGGCTTAGAAGAGTACAGATGTCTTTGAGGGCAGCTCTCAGGTAGAATTGCTTCTTTTTGTAAAACTGTTAACAGTTTTAGATTAAAAATTTAAGGGGAGTAGATTCTGTCTGCACTCAGAAAGGCAAAGTCACATGCCTCAACTTTTGACTAAAGCACAGCAACTCACTGTAAAGCAACCACAGAACAAAAACTTACAAACATGACACTGGCAAATAAAAAGCTGTCATGATTTTGATGAATGTTAATAATAGTAAAATATATTATTTATCCTTTTAAATATTTACAATGAATTAGGGGAAGGAGAGCATTGTAAAGTTTTTAAACAGGCACTAAATAAACAATGAGTTGGGTTTTCTTACACAAAAGTAACTTTTTTTTTTTTTTTTTTTTTTTTGGGACGGAGTCTCGCTCTGTCGCCCAGGCTGGAGTGCGGTGGCGCGATCTCGGCTCACTGCAGGCTCCGCCTCCCGGGTTCACGCCATTCTCCTGCCTCAGCCTCCAGAGCAGCTAGGACTACAGGCTCCCGCCACCACGCCCAGCTACTTTTTTGTATTTTTTAGTAGAGACGGAGTTTCACCGTGTTAGCCAGGATGGTCTCGATCTCCTGACCTCGTGATCCGCCCGCCTCAGCCTCCCAAAGTGCTGGGATTACAGGCGTGAGCCACCGCGCCCAGCCAAAAGTAATATTTTTTAAACTCCAAGAATGTATAATTTCTAACAACTTTAATGGAAATGCCCTGCAGGGTAATATTTAAGCAGCTTATATAGACTTTTTCTTCAAAAATCAAGGCATATGCTCCAATGTATTTTTCAAGTTATTTCATATTGACTCGTAATCTCTGTCTTCATTATTTTCCCATTGACAGAAAGTTTATGCCTTCTATTTTGTAAACAAAGGTAAATATACCTTTTAAAGGCCAATCACGATTCCTCTGACATGGTTCAACATGCAGTAGGTGAGCAGGAGGCTACAGAGATGCAGCCTGGTGAATAAGGTGGGAAAAGTACAGGGTTTGGGATCTGACAGATGCAGGTTGGAATGTCCAGCCTGCGACTTCAGCCACACCACCTAACCTCTGCAAGTCTCCATTTAGTTTCCTCATCAGTGCAATGGGGATGATAATACCTACCTTGACATGTAGTTTTATGGGATAGCCTTTACATGTATAAAATACGTGTTCGTCATCAATGGTAACAGTTATTGTTCTATTACCACTCCTGCAATTATTATATTGGCCCTTGCTATGAGAACCTAATTGGTGAAAGCATGTTACAGTCGACAACACAAAATATTTTATTTATTACCTAAGTTAATGTTAAATTAAATATATAAAAAGACCAAAAGTGCTGAGGGGCTCAGAAGAGAAAGGAATATTAGGGTGCAAATAATTAGGGATGACTTCAGTGGGAAGGCACTTGATCTTTGCTTTGAAAAATAGGTGGGATTTAGGAAGTTTAGAGGGGCAAGGGGGTGGGTGCACACATGTGAAGGGCATTTTTATGTGAAAATCTCTGGTTACTAAAACCATGTACAGCCCAAACCAAATGTGTCTGTAGGCTGGTTTTGACCCTTGGGCCATAATTTGTGACTCCTAATGTGCAAGAAATATACACATTTGGAGAAAACAAGGAAACTACTCAGGGACTCAGGTGAAGGTAATAGTAAAAATAACTCCCACTTACTGAACAACTTCTATGTACCAACTGCCCTCTGTGTCTCAATTTCCTCTTCTGTAAAATGGGGATAATAGTTCTTAATTCAGGGAAAACACCTAGAACATTGCCTAATCTTTGTACGCATTGAAGCACTGGCTTTGATTTTCACGCTGCTGCTGCTGATGATGATTATGATGATGATCCAGTACCAGGCCCTCTGCAAGGCACTTTCCATAAGCAACATCCTCTACTTCTCACGATAACCCTTCAAGCCACTTATCAACAAATTGGAGGCAGTGGGTACAAAAGAATAGAGTTGAACATAAAAATGTCGGACCTGGCCGGGTGCAGTGGCTCACGCCTGTAATGCCCTGAACTTTGGGAGGCTGAGGCAGGTGGATCACCTGCGGTCAGGAGTTTTAAGACCAGCCTGGGCAACATGATGAAGCCCCATCTCTACTAAAAATACAAAAAATTACCTGGGCGTGGTGGCACGCACCTGTAATCCCAGCTACTCAGGAGACTGAGGCAGGAGAATCGCTTGAACCCGGGAGGCGGGGGTTGCAGTGATCCGAGATCACGCCACCGCACTCCAGCCTGGGCCACAAGAGCAAAATTCCATCTCAAAAAAAAAAAGAAACAAAAACGTTGGACTTGATGTGGTGAAAGGAATCACTGATGAACAGCTTTAGGCAGACCAATATTTTTTAAAGATTGGTGTGGCAGAAGCAGGCGAGCTGGGAAGCAAAATAGCCACTGAGATCCTTGCTGTCCAAGCAATGAGATTCTGAGAGGCACTTTGAGGGCTGTAGAAATGGGGTGGAGAGAAAGGAACTCTGATCCAAAAAATGGGCATGACATATTGTCTTTATGATTCACCACCATTTATCGAGTGCTTAAAATGTGCCAAGCAATGTGTTCAATGTTTTCATGCTAATTATTTCACTGGATTTTCCCTGCATTACTCTGGGTACTTACCGTTAACATTTGCATTTTGCAGATGAGTAAACTGGGGCTAAAGTTTACATCACTTTTCCATGGTGATACAGCTGGCTAGCAGTGGAGCCAGGATTTGAACTCAGATTTGTCTGACCCCAGAACCAGCCCTCTTGGCCTCTACACTGCCAGTTCTCGTATGGGAATATTTATGATGATAAATACACTATCTGGTTGTAAGAATTAATTGATACTGATTTCTTTGTTCTTCAGAAGGCATCTCTTTGGTATCTGAAGTTTTACTCTGTACTAGATATTGTCAAGACATACCCATTTTTAAATAAAGAATGCAAATTCCAATTGCCAATCATCAATATTTTGAAAAATATAATACTGACAAGACATTTCTGTCAAGGTATATAAATATTTGTGGTGGTTTTCATGAAAATCAACTTATTCATGAAAATAATTATTGTTCTTCTCCATTGGGCCCAGGTTTGTAATCGGATGGAAAAGAGACTCATATAAAGGCAAAGCAAAAGAAGTTTCTATATGGCAAAATCAAAAAGTTAATTTCATGAAACCAGCTATTTTAAATGGGGTTGTTTAGAAGGCATTCTCCATATCTATTCAAATAGATCCCGGCCCGACCAAAATGTTAATCTGTCCCTTCTAACTGATCCTTTACAAAGCCTTAGACCACTGCTTACAAAAGGAGTGTAGTTTATTACAGTTGTTGCACTCCAAACGAATATTGATTTCAATCTCAGAATGCTATGAAAGGACTTGCATCAATTACACAGTACATCAGAGTCATAATGCAAGTTACCTAGTTCCAATGATGCACACAGCAAATCAATCATTCACTTTCACACACCTTTGAAGAGACACCAGCCACCAAGAGCTTCCTTTATCTAAACCTTAAAATAAGCCATGCAGTGCAAAGTGGTGATAGAAAAGGAAACCATCCCCGGTTTTTTTTAAAGCCATAGGCTACTGTCAGAAAGCCATTATAATTACTCCCTTTCAAGTGGGCTGTGTGTTAATACAAATACAAATGAGCGGGTAAAAAAATGAAGCCTTAATGACAGCATTATGAGGGGAGGTTTCTCCTTTACATTATTTATTTATTCAATGGAAAATTATTTGGCAATTATGATAAAGCAACTAGAGGACAATGACTTTCCTTTGAATCACTAATTAAAATGCTGATTGCCTGTGGAGTGAGATGTGCAGTTATGGTCAAACAAGAACTTTCATTGTGCTAAACAGCTTGGGCTGGCCTGACACCTGGGTGGGGAGGCGAGGTACGAATCAAACACACTTCCTTACTAAAATCATACTCATTTTTATTCAGCAAAATTCTAACAGAATGTTATGAATCTGGGCAAGATAATACTGTAGCCAGTAATCTTAAGAGATTAAAAAGAAAGAAAGAAAACCCAAGTTCTAAAATGAATAACCTTATGAAGTCCAAGAGTATATTTGATACATATCAAGTAGCTTTTCATGTGAAAGGTTTTTTTTTTTATAAATTTGCACTCCCTGTGTTCTTAGATCTCTCTACAAGTTACCTTTATGTGCATACAAACGTCAAAGAAATGTCACCTTCTTAACTCAACATAAATGCTCTTTAAACACGATGATTTCCCTTCAATAAGGGAAGAAATGTCTTACAATTAATTGTGAAGAAGAAATTGCCTTTCTTGTAACCTAATGAATTCAGTGCTTTAAATTTTACTAACTAAAATTATGGTTTTCCCAATAACACTGAAATAGTCATCATTTTTGAAAATGAAAAATATATTTCTTATACTTTCAACTTGTTTATGTTCTAAAAAATTCAAGTAAATTCATAAAGTTAAAGAAGAGTAGGTGCCTTTAACCAGTAACACTCATCATTAGAAAATGCATTCTTTTCAAAGATTCAGTCTCTCACAGAATGATAAATTTTTAGATTTAGAAGAGAAATGAGAGTTCATTTACCCCCATCCAACTTGGGAATTTCCTCTATTGTATCTCTCAGAAAGTCCTGCCTCTGCCATGACTTGGAGAAGATGATGTTTATCATCCTGAAAAGACCATCCCACTTTAAATGGTTCTGAAGGTCAGCAAAAATGTAAAGGTCAAATTGGACTTCCCATCACTTCTACCCCTGGAGCCCATTCTGCCACTGGAGCATCACAAGATAAATCGATCCCTCTTCCAAATGACACCCTTCAAATGTTTTAAGACAGCATTCGTGCTTCCTTCAAAGTTTCCACTTTTCCAAACTTATTAACTCTAGTTCTTCCAGCTAGTCCGTTTGTGCCTTTGTGTCCACCTCCACAATCTGTCCCTCTTAACAAATTGCTGGAGAAAAAGAAAAAGATACATATTCTAGATGTGGCCAAATTATTCAAGAGTAATGGGACCAGTTTCTTTTTTTTTGTTTGCTGTTTTTTCTGTTTCTAATTTTTAAAGCCACGACATGACAATGAATCATATTCATCTCACAGTCAACTAAAACATTTAGATCAATTTTATGGAAATGATTTAATAAAAGTACAAATGTTATGAACTTTACATGTATTGCTCCTAGATTTCATTTTCTTTGCCCATTATTAATCCTAGTGAAATCTATTTCTGTCCACTTGATGCTATTTAATCTCTCTAAGGCTTAGTTTTTTTCACATATAAAACACTTAGTGCAGTAAATTCTAAATAAGCACTAGCTACCATTTAGGGAATATTTCATAAATGAGAAAACTAAGGCACAGAGATGTTCAGTAATTTGCTCACGGTCACTCAGCTAATGACAGGGCCAGGCTTTAAGTTTAGACCACCCTTAACCCCCACACCATCAATGACCAGTCCTCTTTAATTTTCTGACTTGTAAAACATGAATAAATGGGACTCTGATTAACTGTTGAACAGAACCATATTAAAGCAGCATCTCTTTAAAGACCAGACTTCTATTCGATTAATTTATCTCTGGGAGATCATTTGCTCCAAAACCCATAAATCCCTCACCATACAATACATGTATCCACAAAATGCCCACAACCATAATATAATTTATCACTTCTCAGGTGACTTGCATAAACTGAGATACACTATGCCCTGGGAATTTTTCTACTCTAGGTTCAGTAATCATTTTTTTTAAAAAAGGAAATGAGGTTAGCCTGGCATCCTGGCTGGCATCTAATGACTACTGTCTTCTCAAGAGCTGTCAATTCATCCATTTGGTAGTTCCCATCACAGAACACGTCTAATTTTAGGCATCCATTTGTTGCAAAATATCAAGAAATTGGCTCATCTCTCCTCTTTCCTGGATTTTCCAAAGTTTTCCAAGAGTGATTCCAAAGTCCCAGCTGAAAATTCCTTTAGTGCCATGAGATGAATTTGTAGCGATTGAAGGCAGTTAGGGGCTCATTTAGAATCTCTACACTTACTTGAGGTTTTCAGGTTCTTTTAGTTATGCTTGTGCTGCCCTTTCTAATTTGAAAAACCATTATCATTCACAGAGAAAACAGAAATTAAATAGAATTTAGTAGTGTTTCTTTCTCTGTAGTCATCTTTTAACATTATACCATCTGTTCCAAACAATGCAAATCAGCAAATATTTATGAAACGCCTGGAATGTGCAAATATTTTTTATGAGAATGAAAGGAACACAAAGATGACACAGTATGCTTAAAAATTAGGAAGGAGGTGGGGCAGAAGGCCGCAAGGGGAGTTACAGAGAAATAAATGGTTAAGTATTTTATAAAAGAGAAATGAACACATAGGAGAGCAAAAAAACTGCTACAGGATCCCACAGAGAAGGTGCCAATTAAGCAATGGGTTAGGTCGTTTTTTTTTTTTTTTTTCCTTTTTTTCTGTTTCCATACACAACTTTAAATCTTTTTTCATGGTTCTATATTTTACATGTGTACTCTGAAAACTGGTGTGTGATGCTTAGACAACCACTCTCTTTTTCTTTGGGTATCAGTTATTGTCAGAATTTTATTATTAGAGCCTCCCATATCCACAGGCCATCACTCAATCACCTTTTCATTCATTCATTCATTCATTCATTCCATGAATATTGCTATGTCCACTAAATACCACGCAGTCTTTTACAGTCTTAAGTCATGGAATTTCACATATCACATTTTTAGATTATCTACCATGGGCCAAGTGCTACAGAGACACTGGCTCTGTATTAAGCGGGGCAAAAATTTTTTTTATTTGGATTGTTTAAAAATCTGCTGCCTAAATTCTCAGTTACAGGTCTAGCTATACACAGTCTTCACTTGACCAACAAATTCTCCCTTAATTTAGAATTAAGTTGAGGGTATTCAATTATTCCATCGTTTCCTCAATCATTTGAGAGATTGTTTTTTAGGGCAAAGCATCAATTTTTCAGATTTTAGGAGACAATCAGTAGAGATGAAATTCCCTGACATTACTATACCTACACGACTGATAGTTTTACAATCCCAACAATTAAAACATTATTCATTTCAAAAAGTAGCCAAAAACTACTCTTTTCAATTATTTTATCCATACCCAAGTGCTTTCTACTCAAATATGTTTTGATAGTTCTGGGATTTAAAAATATTACTTAAATACTATTTATATTGTCAAAGTAATAGATGTTTACTGTTGAAACATTTAAAAATACAAAGAAGCAGAGAAACAATTACCCACAATTTTACTGCCCGTAGGTAATTTCTTTAGCATTTTAGTGTATTTCCTTCTTGAGAATATGTAGGGGTGTGTATGTGAATACACACACTTGCCTGTGTATGCATATATATTCTGTGTGTGTATATATGTGTGAGTACTGCATGTGCATCTATATAATACATAGTGGGTCCTCTGCATTTTTTTAATCTGCTTCTTGCAAAGAGAAAGGTTAGTCCTTACATTGTAAGTTCTTCTCCTTAATCCTTGGGACAAGATTGGCTCACACTCCTTATGCTGTAATTTAGTTTTCTGCTTAAAACCTCTACTTTATACTCAGCATACAGATATCTGACAGTATTAATTCCATCCCCATTATTACTATGGTTTCCAGAGAATTTTCAGGACCTTCATTCACCCTTCCTTTTTGTTAGTCAGATATTAATTTTATGTTTTGCTTATTTTTATTTTCTTCTCTTTACTAGCCCCAAATTTCAATTTAAAGCCCTCTTGGTCCTAACAACAAGCCACCCATGAAGGTCATTCTTCCCAGTCCTGAAAGCTTGAAAAACAGATGAAGACAGTTTGTCTCAAACCTTGTAAGTTAGAATCCAGAACTTTAGAGATACATTCTCAGGCCTTTGTAACCATCTCACTCCTAAATACATTGATCAGCAGAACTGGTAGCACCCCCTGGCTTCAAAGAGATTTAACAGACCAGTCATTAATTCTCATATTCTCACTCCAAGAATGTGGTCTATCTTTCATAAAGCCATTTCTGATCTACATACAGCCTCCTGCCACCTCCCAAGAGAGACTACTGCCAGTATCTGGAGTGTACCGAGTAAGAGTCCTCTACAACTCAGCACCTGTGAATACTCCTTACTGCTGGGCACAGCACAGAGCAGTGCTTCCTCCGAAGGCCCGGCCTCATGCTCCAAGGGAGTCTCCCTCACCTGCTGTGCAGCTCTGGTGAGGCAGAGGTACCTCTTCTCTTTCCATGTGGAATCAAGTTCCTATGTTCACCAACCTCTTGATGTTGGTTTATAATTTCCCGCTGGTGTTCTTTTCTTCTTGGAATGTTTATTCCATTCATTTTTCCCTCATCAAAAAATAATCTAAGAAGTAATATTATTACCCAGGTACCTAAAACAAGCAAACCTTCTCTTTCCACAGTTCAACAAATTTATTTACTAAAAAGAATAAATATGACTTGTTATTTTAATATCCTAAGTTTTCATTATGTGTCATTTAGTCATTTAAGATATGTCATACATCACATTTCAAAGACTATATTAATAATGATTTTCATAAAAGGATGTGATCATTGTCTGAAGAATTAGTTCAAATGAATGGTATAATATTTTATTACAATTGTGACATTTGAGTAGCTTATTTTATATTGAGGATACTAATTAGAAATGTATCTCTACAACTTTAGCAGGAACAAAAAACAAATTTATATTTCTCCACAATTATTTATATGTTTTTCATACTAAAAGCATATTATGAAATAGAATCTTTGAACAAATATTCTCGATAAATAAACAATTCCCTTCCTTATCTGTGTCTCTGCCATAAAAATGCATCTTAGCATCCTCCCCAAATAATGTGACAGCATAACATTTTAATATTAGCTAAAAATTAACATTTTTTTCTTTGCCTATTCTAAAGAGATTATGAGAATAATTTTTTAAATATGCTTTTCTGATTTGAGTAATACCTTATGGGAAGTAAGGAGTAAGGTCAACTCTACTGATCCTGCACTGAAGATGTTTTAGACTAAATTATTTTTGTTGTTCACTTGGACATATATAGAAAAGTGGAAATAGTTTTATTTCTTTTTTCAGCTTATTTTATTGTGACATTTCCATGTTGTTACTGACATGAAAAGAAAATGACAAAAATTCTGGAGAGCGGTTTGACAATATTTATCCAAATTTAAATGCATATTCCACCTGTCTAAATTTACCCTAACAAATCTAGTAACTGACACATACCCAAATGCAGAAAGATATCCACAGCATTGTTTATAAAAACAAAATACTGAAATCAGATTAAACATCCATTAATAAGGAACTGCTTACATAAAATAATGTGCAGTTAAATCATGTGCAACTATAGAAAATGTTGATGTAAAGATTTCTAAAATACATTATTAATCTTTTTAAAAGCATAGTAAGATCAGTGTGTACAGTAAAATATATTTTAAATGTATAGATGTATAAAAAGTTTACAAGATTATCACCAAATTTTTTTAAATGGTTATATTTCTGTGAAGTGAGGTCACAGGTTTTTGTCTTTACATTTCTGTACACTGTGTGGCATACAATAAGTATGTACTACATTTAAAATCAAAAAAGGGAGATAGTAAAACTATCCAAAATGTAAATTTTCCTTTAAACTCATTATCTTAAACTAATTAAAATGAGCCAAAACACATGATTCCAAATTCCATTTCAGACTTTTTCTTTTAATAGAAATGCTAAGTCTGGATCATTTTAAAACCTTTATAAGAGAATCTGCTGTAAACCTTTTTAATAACTGGAGAAATAGACAAGACAACCTCTAGGGATAAAGAGATCCATGTATTTATGAAATAACAGCCAACATTCTCATTTGTTGTATGATGAAACCATCTACTCTGATCTGCATGTATTCTTTGGGTATGGAGAAACTGAGTGAAGAATACAATACTTTTTCTGACTTATTTTACTCATTTAATCAGTATATCTCATTAGCAAGCAGACAAAGGTCCAGTGGAGAAGACTGTTTGGATTTGCTCTCACACAAGGGTATGGAACATTTTCAGTCAGAAAACCCATCTATTCCCACTGCTTTCTCAGTCCCCAAGAACGCTCAGATTCCACTACTCATGATACTAATCAACAAATCTGGACAGTGAATTCTCTTTCATGCTTTGCCACTGTTTATATATAAACATGTTAATCAAAAGATACGACTTTGGGCCGGGCGCTGTGGCTCACGCCTGTAATCCTAGCACTTTGGGAGGCAGAAGCGGGTGGATTGCCTGAGCTCAGTAGTTCGAGACCAGCCTGGGGAACACAGTGAAACTCCGTCTCTACTAAAAATACAAAAAATTAGCCATGTGTGGTGGCGGGCGCCTGTAATCCCAGCTACTTGGGAGGCTGAGGCAGGAGAATCGCTTGAACCCGGGAGGCGGAGGTTGCAGTGAGCCGAGATCGCGCCACTGTACTCCAGCCCAGGCGAGAGAGCGAGACTCCATCTAAAAAAAAAAAAAAAGATATGACTTTGAGGCTGAAAACATTATATACTTTTCCTGACACCATTTAATTTGAAGATTCTCATAGGGTCTAAAGCTGAAAAGTGAAACTCTAAGTTAAAAGACAGAAAACAAAAAACATGGTTCCCGCTATTTAGCAAGTTATTAGTTCTTTTAAACTTTGGTTACATCCACCAATACATGCCTTCATTGCAATAATCAGCCAATATTAGAAATTGAATATTTGAAGTAGATAGCAACTAAAAACTTTGTTTTGTGCAAGTAGGGGTCTCAATTCTCTTCCACTCTACACCCCTACCACTTGAGAAGAGAAAAAAAGTTAAAACCTGTAACAAGTGTGATAAAACTCACAGTGCTCCTGTATCATTAGTGAAATTATAAGGGATAGGGCAAGGCTGTTTTTAATTGTTCTGTGCAGAGGCCTGGATGCTGGAGGGAGGACACAAGCTGGAGAGAGGAAGGGAAGGCAGGCACAGCCCCAGGCCTTACTCAACCTGAGCAGCACCACTTCCATCTGTTGTACATGCTGGGCTCCTGTGTACGATTTTATATGGAGAAACAGGTCTATTGCTAAGGGGGGAAAGGAAGAAGAAGAAAAAAGAAAGAAAAGAAAAAAGTCTTTGTGAGGTATAAAAAAAAGCACATGAACCCTGGCCTTTCGAAACCTGAATTTTTTATTCATGTCTGCCACAAACCAAGAGTACACCTTGGGCAGCCCATCTCAATTCTCACAGCCTGCAATTAGAAGCAACACCAAAGTGGAGAAAAAGGCACTAAAAGCAAAAACAAGGAAGGGAAGGAAAAAGCATATCTGGTTTATAATTAAATTATTTTCGAAGTGTAAGTAGCACATAAAGACTAAAGACAATGGAAAAACAAGCAGGAAATGAAGGACTCTGCTTTAGAAATTGCTGATTTCTTATGAATTACAGCAGGTCCTCCAACAATGTCATTTTGTTCAACCTCATTTCCTTATAACATTGATGAGGAAAAAAAAAAACTGATTTCTAGCCAGGGCCACTGTCTGTGTGGAGTTTTCAATGTTCTCCACAAGTCTCTGTGGGTTTTCTCCAGGTTCTCTGATTTCCTTCCATATCCCAAGGCTGTGCACATTAAGTGACCTGCTGGCATGTCTACATCGTCTCAGTCTGAGTGAGTGTGGGTGTGTGAATGTGCCCTGTGATGGGATGATGTCCTCTCCAGGGCTGGTCCCCACATTGCACCCTGAGTGGAGCTGCCAGGATAGGCTCTGGCCACTCATAACCCTGAATTTGAATAAGCGGGTTGGAAAATGAATGGATACAAATTATTGTCAAATAAAAATTTAAAAGTATACAATAATCATACAAATGCATGGTGAAAAATGATGCAGTACAAAAGTGCTCAGTGTGCCACCACATCAGTTATTGTTTTTGAACTGCATGATGGTTGAAAGTGCCTCTTACAAGTTTCACTTTTGCAAACATCTATTCCTCGATTTAACCCAACACCACAGTAACTGCCATTACTCACAAATTCAACAAAAGTTTCAAAAATAATTATTAGTCTTTCTTAAATGTATTTAGAGCTCACATTTATGTCAATGTTTTTCTTTTCTTTTTTTTTTTTTTTTTGAGACAGGTTCTGGCTCTGTCACTCACCCAGGCTGGAGTACAGTGGCATAATCCTAGCTCACTGCAGCCTCAAACTCCTGGACACAAGCGATCCCCCCGCTTCAGCCTCCCAAGTAGCTGGGACTACAGGTGCATGCCACTACTCCCAGTTATTTATTTATTTATTTATTTTTGCCCAGGCTGGTCTTGAAACTCCTGACCCCAAGTGATTATCTCTCCTTGGCCTGCCAAAGCACTGAAATTACAGGCGTGAGCCACTATGCCCAGCCTACTTCAATGTTTAATATTAGAAGAGTCTGCAGTCTTTATTTAGAAGCTTGGTGATGTTTTTGCAACCAGAAATATCTCATAGGAACTTAATTCTTATTTATGCCAATTTTATATCAATTAGCCTATGGTAAAATTGTTATCATTATATATCATTTTGCTTACAGCTTCCAAGAACTTATCAATGACATTAAGTGACAGCTTATTGTATTTGTAAGTATGTACCTTCTTACATAGATTGGCTCAAAGTTAGTGTGAAGGAGAACTGGCTTGTCCACTTCTCACTTTGACTATTGAAACTGTATTTGTTGGTACTTTTAGAATGCTACTGCCAAATATAATAGGTATGCAGTTACATTTCAATGAAAAAGAGGATCTCTCACAACCTATCCCCCTGGTTATGACCCACATCTGTAGGGACGTTCTCCACCCTGGATGTAAACAGAGAGGTTCATGCTAACTATACAACATCTCCTTCATCCAGAGTTTAGGGTGTAGCCAGTAGAATAAATGTTGAGGCAATTAATTAAACTGGCTGTTTGATGATGAGATGATAACATTTTATTTACTAGACTCTAAAATTTTATTGAATGTCTACTGTTTGCCTGACACTGTTCCATGCATTATCTCATTGTCTCATCCAATCCACACAGTACAATTATTAGCCCTGTTCTCTGTGGAAGTAACTGAATCGTGGAACGAATGCAATGAATCTTGAAGATTACACTGTCCAGTGCCTTTATTTTATGGTGAAGGAAAATGAGGCAAGGGGTTCCTTAGTGTCAGAACCAGCACTAGACTATGGTTGGTCTTGTCTGCGCCTGCTTGGTGTTGGAGGTTTGGGGCTCTGGAGTTAGACAGAAAGTGTTTACATACCTGCTTTGGCACTCACCAGCCACATGTTCTTGGCCAGTTATGTGATCTCTCTAAACCTAGGTTCCTCACCTTTATAATGAAGAAAAAGTGGTACTATGGCCTTGGACTTAGTGAGACAGAAAAGATAAGGGTGTGAAACACTTAGCATCTTGCCTGGCATAAAACTCTTGGTGAAAAAACAAGACTCTAGTATTACTACTACCACTATTTATGCTACTGCTCATGCTTCCATTACACCAGCACCAGTGTTAATGTCATTATTGTTGCCACCGTCATCATTACTACATTAGGCTCTTCTTCCAAATAGATGCCTAAAGATGCTCTCTGCCTCACCATCATTGCTTGCAATCACTTTCCCTCCTGAAATCAGCCTTTCCATCTTCCCATATCAATCCAAACTTTGCATTGAGGCCCAAATCAAGACACAATTCTCTCAAGAAGCTGACCCTCAACTGTTAGAGCCCACACTGGTCCCCTAATCTGCTTTCCATACTACTGGATGCTTGCATTGGTGTCTAAAACTATGATGTCTTTTGGTTTTATTTAATTTCTTCTTATTCCCCAGTGAGGTGGCTTGCTCTTTCAGGAAAGAAGCTGTCATTCACATTTCTTTTATTAGCATTTACTTTTCTAATACAGTGAGGAGCCCATAGTCGGCCCTCAAGAAATACTTGCTAGATTGAAAATAGAGCCTCTTCTCCACCTATAAACAAGATTATTTTTACGTTGTTATCCAGTCTGGGTCTGGACTCACATACTATGCTAGTCTATAACAGTCACATTTTAAAACAATATGATGCTAAATTAAGGTACACTGGCATCAGATCCTCACAGATTTCACTTGAGAAGGTAGCATGTTGCAAAATAAGCTTCCCTATCAAAATGTGACACAAGCACAGGTATAAATTCCTAAGGCCAGACTGACCATAACACTGACATACGGCTCATAAATTGCTGACCACAGTGGTCAGTCTATTACCTTTGCTAAGTTATTGAGTTTCTCAAATTTCATAATGTTCAAAGATTTTCTGTACATCCAAGGCCTACGCAATAAATAAATCGCATGCCCATTCTATGGGAGGTAGAATTCTTACCTAACGTTCATTTCTTATATTTCCTATAAAACCCTCAAAATTACAAAGACTATAACTTCCATGTGCTACAACCTTAAACTTAAAAATTATAAGTCCTCATTCTTTATACTCTTCAGAATGTAAATGTCTGTCTAGCTTTTGTGTACGTCATTCTCTAGGGTCTTTTTAAATTTCGTGATTTCACATTCTCTTTGACCTTTGACTAACACTCCTATGACCAGTCTCTGCTCAGAGATAATCACTGTTATCAAGTTGGTATGCACTCCCCTATAGCTTCTTTATATAAATTCACAAATATATATTTTTACCTACAGAAAATATACTGTATTCTTCTGTGACTTTTTTGTTTAGCATAAACAGTGTTGTATTGTATATGTTACTCTATAACTTGCTTTTTTATCCCTCAAGAAATAGTGCTGGGGATAAATTTCCTTGTCAGTAAAATAATACATGTAGTTCATTTTTTTTAACCGTGCAGATTTCCACAATTTATTTAACCAGTTCTCCATCAATGAACATTTAGGCTGTTTCTCTTTCTTGCTTTTATAAATAATGTTGCAGTAATAATCTCTGCTGGTGTTTCTCTATCATTCTTAGCATTTTATTAGGAATTATTTTAATTAAGTATACATCCTAATTACATACAATTCCTTGGTAAACAATATGATACAGGATATTTTTTTCTTTCTTCTTTAACTGGAATAAATTTAAACTATGGCTTTCCTCTAAGTTAATATTGAATTTAGAGCTCTATCCTCACACTAGAACCGGAGTTGGCAACCTTGGCCAACAGGCTAATCTCACTCATTGCCTGTTTTTGGAAATAAAGTTTTATTGGAACACAGCCACACTCATTCTTTTACATATTGTCTTTGACTACTCAGAGCTGAATGGTTGTGACAGAGACCATATGGCCCTCAAAGCCAGAAATATTTACTATCTGTCCCCTTTCCAAAATATTAATACTTTACCAACCCCTATGCTAGAACATGAAACATTCTTCCTCTGAAATTTTTCTTTTGTTTATACAAAGTATAAGTTAAAGGGTCAGTATCTTTATATTTTAAGTGTAAAGCATGTAGTAGCACTTGCTTCTAAAAACCAAACAAAAATTCCACATCTGCAGAACAAAACAATATCTCTTTTGAATTCCACAACTGAAACTATGCAGCATAAAGCCAAATCTGCTTTGGATCCTTCATAACTTTTCAAAATATTTAGTAATTTAATTAAATTAGAGATTTCCCTTTAAAATAGGAAGTTATCCCTCAGTCTGACTGCTGATTTAGGTCACCATTTTGAAAACATATATATACAATTTTTTAGAAAATGATGTACCTCCTATAGCCTAGTAGTATTTCGTAATATTTGAGATATGGAACAAAAATACAGAATTAGGCAACGAGTGAGTTAAGCCAAGTGACTCGTGCTTCTAGGCTTCCCTGCACCTTGTGGCATCCAGGATGCTTGCGCCGGGCGCTACTAAGACCCCTCCCAGTCCTCACATTCTGTGGCTCCTACAATCCACACTTAGAAAGGGGTACTTATAATAGGAACCTCATTTATTTAAATTAACACTTAAAATTATAACATTCACTGACAAGCTCTATTATCAAATATTGCCACTGACTGTGACATCTACGTTAAAGTTGGAAAATAGGTGCTAATGGATAACAAAAAAAGTCATAATTCAAGCTTACTCTATGCTCATGTACAATAAACTAGTGTTTACAAAATTAATTACTAATAGATTCTACCACTTATTTAAAATAACACAAGGAGACCCAAAACATGCATAGATGAATTTGCTCCTATTAGAATTATAAATGTTCTGATTATTTTAAACTTGGCTTGCCAGGTTGTGTTATGCTTGTAGGAAAAAGGAAGAATGCTTCCAGTCATTGCCCGACATAAATGTTTTTTCAACATTTCTCATTATGAAACGTTATGGAAGGTATAAAGAGGGTCCCAACAGTTATATAAAGCAATAAAATCCTATTTTGTTCTCCCCTAGTGAGAGAAAGAATAGAGAAATGAGTCCACCCATTGCATTTGGCCAAAAATAATGGTAATAATAATCACTGATCAATTATTTGCTGATTGACAGTTGGCAGACTTTCTAAACTTTTTAGATGTGTTTAGTAACCAGATTGCTTAGTCTCTTAGAAGACCAGGCTGTGGTAACCCATGGTTACCCCTCCCCCTGCCAATTACTCACCAAAAAATTAGCACGATAATTTGTTGGTAGCGCTGTTGTTGTGTGGAAAGAATATGGAAGAGGGGTGGAAAAATAAATCCTTTTCTCTACCGAAGTCTTAAGTCCAGGGTGGATGCAGGATCCAGTTTGCCCAGGACAGCCAGCTTTACACCAGGTTGTCCTAGTGTTATTATGAACAGCCCCCACTTTCCCCTCAAAATGTCCCAGGCACAACCACAAATTATGTGATCACTCTCTCTAGGCCCAGCCTTTCTCCCTTCAGCTTTGCCTCCTCTAGTGCCTCCTCTTTATCTTTTCTTTGAGAGTCCTGATTAGGAATGTTCTGAAGGGAGAAGCAGGGAAGCACTGAGTTGGAAAAATCAATAGAGCCAGAGACAAGTAGGCTCCAGAGATCCAGAGAGCAAGAGGAGATGAAGGAAGTGGTCAATGTGCCGAGTCAGGGGAGGAGGCTGAGGTCAATGTCAATGGCTCCCCGCCTTCTGGTCAGCCAGCTGGCTCATGGGGAGGGAGTTACATGCTTCCAAGTTTGGCTGTTGAGGGTTAAGTGTTAGGGGCAGAGTTTCCGTGGAAGGACCGTTGTCATAATCATAAGGACACAGGTCAGTATCAAGAGGACAGGTTATAGGAAAAACTGAAAAGAATATCCTTGTTCAAAGGTCTAAAGTGAGATTGAAGACTCACAAGTGCTATCATGAAAGCCGACATTTAAAAAAATGAGGAAAGCTATCTGAATCCTTAGGACCCAACCACCAAGTAACGTCCAAGGAGCAGTTGCTTTAACAACTTTGAGACTTCCACTGCCTATAAATTTGGAACAACTCCCCCCTTCGACCCCAGTCTGACTCTAAACTAAAGGGTTTCCTCTATTTTCCAGCACAGATTATTTCAGAGTGAGTTTCCTCTAGAAGGATGCCTTCCCTAGGTGGAAAATGTCGTCCGCTTGGGGTTCCAGCTATCTCAGGGGCTGGGGACCCAACTCTCAAGCCCACCTCTCAGATTAATTGTTATCAGCTGAGTACTGGGCAGCTGAAAAACTGTGACGTGATGGGACTTGTGCTCCCAACAAAGTATACAGATTCACTAAGTGATCACAGAATAACAATATAGTCATGTGCCACTGACATTTTCAGTCAAAGGCAGAACACATATATGTAAGTGGTACCCTAAGATTATAATAGAGCTGAAAAAAATTCCTATCACCTACTGACATTGTAGCTATCATCGCAACATGTTACTCACATGTTTGTGGTGATGATGGTGTAAAGCAAGCTTGTCCAACCCTTGGCCCACACAGTATTTGATATATGCATAGTACATAATATTTGAGAATGATAATAAATGACTAAGTTACTGGTTTAGGCATTTCTTATACTATATTTCTCATAATTATTTTAGAGTGTACTCCGTCTACTTACAAAAAAAAGTTAACTATAAAACAGCCTCAGGCAGATTCTTCAGGAGGTATCCAAAAGAAGACATTGCTATCATAGGAGATGACGGCTCCAAGCATGTTATTACCCCTGAAGACCTTCCAGTGGGACAAGATGTGAAGGTGGAAGACAGTGGTATTAGTGACCTTGATACCGTATAGTCCTACGTTAATGTGAAGGTTTGTGTCTTAGTTTTTAGTAAAAGAGTTTTAAAACTAAAAAAAAAAAAAAAAAAAGGAAAACTTTTTACAATAGAAAAAAGCTTATGGAATACAGATAAAGAAAAATGTATTTTTGTATACCTGTACAATGTATTTATGTTTTAAGCTGTGATTACAAAAGAGTCAAAAAGTTTTTAAAAATCAAAAGTTTATAAAGTAAAATAGTTATAGTAAGCTAAGGTTATTATTGAAGAAAAATATTTTTAAAATAAATTTAGTGTAGCCTAAGTGAACAGTGTGTTTATAAAGTCTGGAGTAATGTACAATAATGCCCTAGGCCTTCACATTCACTCACCACTCACTCACTGACTCACCTGGGGCAACTTCTAGTCCTGCAAGCTCCATTCACAGTAAGTGCCCTATACAGGAGTACCATTTCTCTTCTTTTTTCTGTATTTTTACTGGACCTTTTCTATGTTTAGATACACAAATACTTATCATTGTGTTACAACTGCCTACAATATTCAGTACAATAACATGCTGTACAGTGTTGTAGGCTTTGAGAAATAGGCTATACCATATATCCTAGTGTGTAGCAGGCTATATCATCTAGGTTTGTGTAAATGTACTCTATGACGTTTGCACAATGACAAAGGAGCCTAATGATGTATTTCTTAAAATGTATCCCCGTGATTAAGCAACACACACTGTACTAAAAATTATTATTAGAGTTGTTGCATAGCTAATATTTGAGTGTTTTCTACATGTCTGTTCTAAATGCTTCACACTATTAATAATTCATTTAATCTTTACACACCCCTAATAATGATTGCATAACTCCCATTTTACAGATTAGAAAACTGTGGTTAACTAATTTGCCCTAAGTCACATGTTAATAGGTGCTATGACCAGGATTCAAATCAGTGTAATGAGACTCCAGACCGTACCCACTCAACCACTTTACTACAATACCTTTCTTATGTCAAACTCTTCTGAAATTCCAGGGTAAGTGTGGTCTTAAAACCAGTTTTGATGCTCAACTTTAAAAGACTAGAATATCAAACTGCCTTAACCCGAAGTAAGTCCAGGAAATCACACACACTATTCTTGAATTTCTCCCTTGAAAATTAAAATTAAAATGTAAGGGACAATGCTTTGTATTTTCCCCTATTCCTATGAATCACATAATAATCTTAAATCATTCAACTGTTGCAAAGCTTCCACTGTGAAAATCTTACTTGGATTTCTTCTAAACCAAAATAACCTTCCAAAATATTCAGGGAAGATAACTCATGATGGTGTTATAGTCCTTTCTGAATGCTTCATTTAGACACCTACCAGAGATCCCTTCATGGACACAGAAAAAAATCTTAAACTGTCTCTATTTGATTGTGCTTGCCTAGCGCATTAAGTCCAATCCACCATGTCGCACCTCAGTAACTCAACACAGACTAGAAAATTCTTACAGTCAGCTTTCCCAAGGGATTTGTTAAGTTTCACATGCATTTAGTTGTGCAGTTGGCCTGCTTAAATTGATAAACTTGTAGCTAAATTCTTTCTGCAGCAGTGGGTCGTTGGGCTTATTTTTTTTTTTATCAACAAGAGAATAAATACTGCAAAAGAAGCTGTTACTATGTGTTAGTGTTAACCATTAGTTTTTAGCATAATTGAGCTTCCATTCCATTATCTCAGTAACTGATAAGTATTTATTTTTTGGATGCAGTTAAAGGGTGAAAGGGATTAAAAAGGGCTAACACTGAAATATAATTATAGCAAGAAAGGTAAGGAAATGTTTGTCCTCAATTCTGCGAAAAAAAAAAAAGAAACAAAAATTACGAATGAAATCATCATTTGTATTAAAACTCTCAAGTTGCTATGATGCTTGCCTATACAGGGAGACTCTCAATGATCTGCCCCATGAAGATGCTCTAGCCTAACTCACACAATAATATACAGAGAGTGTGAATGACTTGCCCAAGGTCACAAACCCCAACAACAACAAAGTTGGGATTAGATCACTGGTCTCCTAACTCTGCAATCAGAGCTCTTACAAACATACCAACCTCCCAATGTCTGTAGTACATCTGCATCTGAAATCCTGTTTCATCCTAAACCTGAACATCTATTAAATCAACACATTACAGTCATTCAAATCATCATTCATTCCCAATTTGCTACCATCAATACTACATTTATCAGAATTTGTGGAAGCCACCTATTTCTTTGTCTCCAGGTATCAGTAAGTCCTATCATTTACTTCTATATCCTACGTTTCACAACTCAAAAGCCTATCAGAAATCTCTGGCCTCAGACTTCCACCTTCTCTAATTCTGTAGGGCACAGGGCCACTTCGCTGTCTGAAAAAAGCAGGCTCCTTGCTTTGACTCCATCTCTAACATGTATTTGTCTATTTGCAACTTGACAGGATCCTACAAACAACCATAAGAATTCCCTTCCCTGAATAATTTTTTATTCCTGTTCTCAAAAGCCATCAATGGCTCCCAATTGCCTCTTGAATCAAATGAAAACACCTATCCAAATCTCTACACCTAAGTGTCTTCATCTCCATCCAATACATTTATTCAGCAAGTATTTGTTGAGTAATCATTGTGTGCCTAGTTACATGCTAGGCTCTGTGGGAAATTATGAGATATATGACATAGTCCCTGCTCTTATGGATCTTAACTATCGACATGAAGAAACAAAACATGCACACAAACATTTTTATAGCAGAACGAGGCTAGATAAGTCTAAGCACCCAGAGAAGTGAATGAAACACACAAGTGAAGTATTACTGGGAGACAATGTGTTTGTGTGTGAGGTTTCATGAGTTATACATGACATGAGCTGAGACTTGCTCCAGAAATGTACAAAATAATACATTCTCCAGGGTCAGAATTAGCATCCTTTGAATTCAGAGACTGCTGTGACCAGTCTGCCTGGAGTAGAGCCTTCCTGTGATTAGCTGTCAGAAATGAGGGTAGGAAGGAGGTGAGGCTAGGGAACAGTGATTCTTTAGGTACAGGCTGAGGAATCTGGAATTCATTCTCACACAAAAGGGAGGAAAAGAGATTACTAAATGAGAATGGAGCAAGAAGAAAATGATTATTTATGTAGCAGCAATATTCGGGGTGGAGTTCTAGGTAGGGACTTACTATACCAATGCCATCATTAGGAGATAAGGTCACTATCAAGAGTGTGTGCAGATGGAAGAAGAAAAGAAAGAACAGGCTGAAGAGGCATCCTGAAGGAACACTGCTAACCATAACTGCAAGGTACGTGCTAAGGTAATACAAGAATGAAGAGACTGTTGATAAAAAATAATGAATAATGAAGCTAGGAAAGGAGAGAGTGGTGAGTGTGAGGTGACGGCAGGGCACGTAAGCTCCATAGGAAAATTGGAGACTCAAATCACCTAAATTTCAGGTGAAAAAGAAGGACGTGCTCTAGATTCATAAGATACTAGCAAAAAAGTGAAGGCAAGAGATGATGTGTCCCCCAAAGCCCATGCCTTTTTCCTCAGAGGCACCCACCTACATTACCTTTCCCAGGCTCTTGCATGGAGGTGGGGACACAAGACTGAGTTCTGGTCAGTAGAATGTGGGTAGAGTTACTTCCAAGCTGGCCCCATATATACCTCCCACAGATTATCCTCCATTTTCTGTCCATTTCACCAGCTGAATGAAAGAGGTTCTTAGAACCTACAGGAAGACTCCTAGAACCTAGAATGTAGCTATTACAAACCTGCATCCCTGAATAACTGCGTAGAATGGAGACACACACACACAAAGATTCCCATTGGATCCGATGTAAAAAAGTAACCTTTGATTTTATTAAGTCACCGATACTTGGCACTGATTGTTACAGCAGTTAGCCTACTCTAGTATAGCTGCTTTTCCAAAAGAAACGTATGTCCTAAAAATACTCAGCTTTTCCAGCTAACGTTATTGTCATCTACAATAGCCTGCCTGCTCCCTCTGTATTTTCATTTCATTCTTACTTCCTAAAATGATTTCCCCCACACTAATCCTTGTCCTTCCTGGCCTTAATATTTTTGCATAAGTTTTACATCCTGTATTAAAACAGTTTCTGACTTACCCCAGCTGACAATAGTCCTTGCAATAATTTTCCCAACTCCATAGCACTTGTGCAAATATCTCTATCCATCTGTAACTGGTTATGACTATGTTTTTATGTTTATTTTATCTGTTATCATGTATCTCCATTTATATTTGTTCCATTAGATTATAAACTCAATATGAACAAAGATTGTGTTTCCTATTTCCTTTGTAATTTCCTACATGCCTCATATATTGCCCTACGCTGTCAGTGCTTCATAAACCCAACTAATTGAAGTTCAAACTTCTACTCATATACTTGCACCAGATACATAACAACTCACAAAATCTGTGTCTATAACATAAATACATGCAGAGTCTTGCAGTGGCACCCTGGTTTATCCAGCACATCAGGGAGTGAGCTGACCCACAGAGTTAATTTTGGCCATCAAATATAATGCAGTATGGAGAAACACAGTGGCTAAACAACCTGCCACACTTAGTCGGCATTTGAGCCTGAAATACTTTCTAGTAAATCACATTTTGGCAATAGTCATTAAAACAGGTCTCTACTAGACTTGGTAGCAAGCAAGTTCAAACTGATCAAAATTAGTTTACACTTATGTGACCTGGGCAACAACTGGCAAAATAAAAATAAAAATAAAAATAAAACATTTTATTTAAGAGGCTGTTGACACTCTCCAGGCACCATTAAATCCTGTTGCCAGCAACTCCTTCTTAGAAACTCAACTCCATATGGCATGGTGCTACCATTCTCTATTCCCCCAGCAGAGTGAAGGGTTCTCTCCTTTGTGTACTAGGTCATTTTGTATAAATGTCAATTGTAGCATTATCATACTATGTGGCAATTGTGAGCCTTTCTGTCCACTTCATCACAACTCACCACAAATACCTTGGAGACAAGGACTGAATCTTTTTCCTTTTCATATCTCCAGAGTCTATGCAACACTTGTACATCCTAAGTTATAATATTCAGGATATTTTTTATTACAAGCAACAGAAACCCAAGTTAAACAATCTTAAGGGGGAAAAAAACATGTAAGAGTAAGTATAACTGGGTCTAAGAAAATACATCACTAACAGATTTTTCCCCGGGCTATATATAATTTTTGGAGCATCTTTACTAAAGGTAAGAAGCTTATGTTGAAATTATTTTCCTCCAAAATATTAAAGGAAATAATTAGAAAAATATACATGTAATTACTAAAAATAAAAACACTTCAGTGGGGGAATACAGACTGGGTAATCATTTAGAAAATGCAACTGTGTTAGACAAGGAATATAACTTTTATTTTTTTTTTTTGAGATAGAATCTCATACTGTCACCCAGGCTGGAGTGCAGTGGTGTGATCTCTGCTCACTGCAAGCTCTGCCTCCCGGGTTCACACCATTCTCCTGCCTCAGCCTCCCGAGTAGCTGGGACTACAGGCACCTGCCACCACGCCTAGCCAATTTTTTGTATTTTTAGTAGAGATGGGGTTTCACCGTGTTAGCCAGGATGGTCTCAATCTCCTGACCTTGTGATCTGCCCACCTTGGCCTCCCAAAGGGCTGGGATTACAGGCATGAGCCACCGCACCCGGCCGGAATATAACATTTATAATAATACCCATCTAATTCCTCACAGTACTCCTACTGTAAATCAAGATATAGAAAAGAAGTTCAACTGAATTTTTTTACCACAATCAACAGCTGAAATTAAAGAAGCAAAAATTGCTATTCAAAAAACTAAATGACTGTTTAAAAGCAAATTTTGAGTACCCACTATGTTCCCTGGCATGTACTGGGCATGAGGAATAGAAACATGAATATGATGTGGTTCCAGCCCTGATGAAGCACACAGTGTGATGATGGGAAGAGGCAGGGCCACCACAACCCTCAGCACAGTGCGAAGGGGCTTTGAGGAGGCCTCCAGAGCAAGGGTGAGCAACGGGAGGAGGCCAAGAAAGAATGCTACTGCCTGGGGAGGGGCAAGGCAGGGGCATGCACTTCATAGAGGAGCCAGCACTACTGTTCTTCACCAAGAAAGAAGACAGGAAGAAGAACATCAGCCCAAGTAGAGAAGGATTAAACAACAACAATAACAAAGTGTTTTGGCAACAGCAACTATTCCCCTATGGGTGAGAGGAAACTACAGGGGAAGGAAAAGCAGGACAGGAAATGGGAAATTAGGTTGCAGGTGGATTGTGAAGGTCTCCTATAGGAAGCTGGGGAAACTGGAGCCTCATTCTGTACACAAGGGGGAGCCAGTGAAAGTTTGTTGAATTGTTTTAATTGAAGTGAAATTCACATGATACAACATTAATCATTTTAAAGTGAACAATTCAGTGGCATTTACTGAAAGAGATGTGAAACCACTACCTCTATCTAATTCCAAAATAGTTTCATCACCCCAAAAAAAAACCCCATACCCATTAAGCACTTGCTCCCATTTCCTGCTTCTCCCATCACCTGGTAACCACCAATATGTGTTCTGTCTGTATAGATTTACCTATTCTGAATATTTCATATAAATGAAATCATAGCATATGTGACCTTTTGTTTCTGGCTTCTTTCACTTAGCGTGGTTTCGAGGTTCATCCACACTGGTACATGTATCAGTACTTCATACCTTTTTATTGCTGAATAATATTCCAGTGTACATTTATAACACAATTTCTTTTTCTAATCATCTGTTGATGAGCATTTGGGCTGTTTTTGCCTTGTGGCTATTGTAAACAGTGCTGCTATGAACATGCATGAGCATGTTCTTATTTGAGTACCCATTTTCAAATATTTCGGGTATATACCAAGAAGTGGAATTTCTGGGTACGAAGGTAATTCTATGTTTAACTTTTTGACAAACCACAGAACTGTTTTCCATAGTGGCTGAACTACTTTACATTTTGAACTAGTTTGCTTTCATGCTGCTGATAAAGACATACGCGAGACTAGGGAATTTACAAAGGAAAGAGGTTTAATGGAGAACTCACAGTTCCACGTGGCCAGGGAAGCCTCACAATCATGGTGGAAGGCAAGGAGGAGCAAGTCACATCTTTTTTTTTTTTTTTTTTTAGTAGAGACGGGGTTTCACCGTGTTAGCCAGGATGGTCTCCATCTCCTGACCTCGTGATCCACCCAACTCGGCCTCCCAAAGTGCTGGGATTACAGGCGTGAGCCACTGCGCCCAGCCGCCAGTCACATCTTACATGGATGGCAGCAGGAAAAGAGAGAGCTTGTGCAGAGAAACTCCCGTTTTTAAAACCATCAGATCTCATGAGACCCATTCACTATCCCAAGAACAGCACAGGAAAGACCCACCCCCATTATTCAATCACCTCTAACAATACGTGGGAATTGTGGGACTTGCAACATGAGACTTGGGTGAGGGACACAGGACGAAACCATATCATTTCACCCCGGTCCCTCCCAAATCTCCTATCTTCACATTTCAAAACCAATCATGCCTTCCCAATAGTCCCCCAAAGTCTCAACTCATTTCAGCATTAACTCAAAAGTCCACAGTCCAAAGTCTCATCTGAGACAAGGCAAGCCCATTCCACCTACAAGCCTGTAAAATCAAAAGCAAGTTAGTTACTTCCTAGAAACAATGGAGGTACAGGCACTAGGTAAATACAGCTATTCCAAATGGGAGAAATTGGCCAAAACAAAGGGGCTACAGGCCCCATGCACGTCTGAAATCCAGCAGGGCAGTCAAATCTAACAGCTCCAAAATGATCTCCTTTGACTCCATGTCTCACATCCAGGTCATGCTAATGCATGAGGTGGGTTCCCATGGTCTTGGGCAACTCCACCCCTGTTGCTTTGCAGGGTACAGCCTCCCTCCTAGCTGCTTTCATGGGCTGGCATTGAGTGTCTGTGGCTTTTCCCGATACACGGTGCAAGCTGTTGGTGGATCTACCATTCCGGCGTCTGGAGGATGGTGGCCCTCTCCTCAAAGCTCCATTAGGCAGTGCCCTAGTATCAACTCTGTGTGGGAGCCCCGACCCCACATTTCCCATACCCACTGCCCTAGCAGAGGTTCTCCATGAGAACTCTGCCCCTGCAGCAAACTTCTGCCTGGACTTCAAGGCATTTCCATATATCCTCTGAAATCTAGATGGAGATTCCCAAACCTCAATTCTTGACTTCTGTGGACTGGCAGGCTCAACACCACATGCAAGCTGCCAAGGCTTGAGGCTTGCACCCTCTGAAGCCATGGCCTGAGCTCTACACTGGCCCCTTTCAGCCACTGTGGGAGTGGCTGGGATACAGGGCACCACATCCCAAGGCTGCACACAGCACAGGGACCCGGGGCCCGGCTCACAAAACCAGTTTTTCCTCCTAGGCCTCTGGGCCTGTGATGGGATGGGCTGCTGTGAAGGGTTCTGACATGCCCTAGATACATTTTCCCCATTGTCTTGGGATTAACATTTTGTTCCTCGTTATTTATGCAAATTTCTGCAGCCAGCTTGAATTTCTCCTCAGAAAATGGGATTTTCTCTTCTATCACATTATCCAGTTGCAAATTTTCTGAACTTTTATACTCTTTTTTCCTTATAAAACTGAATGCATTTAAAAGCACCCAAGTCACCTATTGAATGCTTTCTGCTTAGAAATTTCTTCTGCTAGATACCCTAAATCATCTCCTTCAAGTTCAAATTACAAACCTCTAGGGCAGGGGCAAAATGCCACCAGTCTCTTTGCTAAAACATAACAAGAGTCACCTTTGCTCCAGTTCCCAAAAAGTTCCTCATCTCCATTTGAGACCACCTCAGCCTGGACCTTAATTGTACATATTGCTATCAGGCTTTTGATCAAAGCCATTTAACAAGTCTCTAGGAAGTTCCAAACTTTCCCACATTTTCCTGTCTTCTTCTGAGCCCTCCAAATTGTTCTGCCTGTTACCCAGCTCCAAAGTCACTTCCACAATTTCAGGTATCTTTTCAGCAACACCCCACTCTACTGGTACCAATTTACTGTATTAGTCCATTTTCACACTGCTGATAAAGATATACCCGACTGGACAATTTACAAAGGAAAGAGGTTTAATGGAGAACTCACAGTTCCACATGGCTGGAGAAGCCTCACAATCATGATAGAAGGCAAGGAGGAGCAAGTCACATCTTACATGGATGGCAGCAGGAAAAGAGAAAGCCTGTACAGAGAAACTCCCACTTTTAAAACCATCAGATCCTGTGAGACTCATTTGCTATCACAAGAACAGCATGGCAAAGACCTGCCCCCATGTTTAAATCATCTCCCACAATACATGGGAATTGTGAGACTTACAAGATGAGATTTGGGTGGGGACACAGAACCAAACCATATCACATTTCCACCAGTGGAAGCTTTTAAAGAGGCCATCCCATGGAATGAACAAGGCAGTTAAGAAGCTGTTCTGGTTATCTGGAAGAAAGATGAGAGGGCCTCAGCCAGGACTACCATGGTGGGAATCAGAGAAGTAGGCACAATGATGGGGCAAATAGGAGGCAGAAATACCATGTAAGGAAGAGCCAAACACGATTCCCAGGCTTCTGGCTTAAGTAACTGGATGGATGGTTTGACCATTAACTAGGTTACAGAACAAGAAGGATAAATCCCTACTGAAGGGAGGGAGTTGGATGGGCTGATTTGGAAGAGCTGAATTATCCACTAAAGATGTCCAATGGGTCATCAAGAATTCTGGTCAACGGATGAGGGTTTGAGCCCATATTCCTTTTTCTGTGCTGAGCTGCCCAGCTTCAGTTTCCTACTAAAACAGTCCTCTTTCTTTCCTGTCTTCTTTATAACATTTCCCGAGAGCCACTTGTTTCTTTAGTGAAATAACAATTGCTCCAAAGACAGAATCTTGATTCAAGGAACTCAAAGTGCTTAAATATTTAAAATAGAAATACTAGAATGGGCTGGGTGCAGTGGCTCATGCCTGTAATCCCAGCACTTTGGAAGGCCAAGGCGGGTGGATCACCTGAGGTCAGGAGTTCGAGACCAGCCTGGCCAACATGGCGAAATCCCATCTCTACTGAAAATACAAAAATTAGCTGAGTATGGTGGCACATGCCTGTAATCCCAGCTACTTGGGAGGCCAAGGCAGGAGAATTGCTTGAACCTGGGAGGTGGAGGTTACAGTGAGCTGAGATCATGCCACTGCACTACAGCCTAAGCAATGGAGTGAGACTCTGTCTCAAAAAAAAAAAAACAAAAACAAACAAACAAACAAAAAACTAGAATGGCGAGCCTATCCAATTTTTTTTTTTAATTTAAGTTCCCAGTAGCAAGCAGTTATCTTGCAACCTGCATCAAAGATTAGCTTCTCTTTACATAAAATCATTTTTATTCATTTAAATTAACATCCATCATGAAAAAAAAATTTGGGGCTCTAATCTAAAATTTACAAAAGTTCAGTATGTTATTTTCATTTTGATATATTATTTCTGTCTTTTGCTGAAATGACAGAAGTATAAGTAGTATTCACTTGTCATAATTTTTGTTAACAGGATATTAATTTAATATACAGGAAGTCAGTTGGCAAGTATTCACTGTAACAGAACAGTGAAGTACCATAGAATGCCCAAACCATTTACATTTTGTTCTCAATAGTGTACATTAAGCACACTTGCACATTTAAAGTATTCATGGAATTTATAATATAGTATTTCAAACAAAGTAACAAATAACTTCCTATCACAGTCCATCATCTATACCCCCTTCCTCCAGCTCCCCCAGAAAACACCAGCTGCTCTATCACCTTTTAACCTACAAAACTCAAAGGATGATATCTCTGCATATTTATTGGTTCCCTTTCCCTGGGGCAGAAGGTAATTAATTTGACTTAAAAATCCTCCTCTTCAAATTCCTTCCAGGCTAGATAAGCTAAGATCCTGTTTATGTAAACAAAAGTGCTTTATTAAACTGAGCATGTGAGAGTGCCAAAAAGACCTGGAAAGATTTTCATGCTACCATTTTATTGATCAAAATTTGACTATATCTACAGAACCATGAAGATATATCGGTCTTTTAAAAGGTAACAATATCTTATTTTTTTTCCATTTTCTTAAACTAACTTCACCTTCATTCAAAATTAAAATCAATTTCCATAAAAATTCATTGGAAAGAATGCTTAATTTACTGTGGGAAATAAAAACCATAATCTGTCAGTAAAGCCCAGCACTTCTGCCTGACAAATGGAAAACAACCCTTAGTTATTTGAATATAAAAATACAAAATGGTTAATATTAATAAATGAATCTTTTGCCATATATGACACTGTCATCAAATTCAGTGGTCATTTCTAGGTCTAAAATCTTCTTTTCACTTTGCGCATTTGCTTATAATTTTCTCCTCAATTTCTCACCACCTTAGATCTTCTGTCCCTACACAAAGGAAGGAATTTGATTGTATTTGATTATATTTCCCTCTCGAATGTCTCACCTCTTAGGATTTCCTGCCCCTGCTTTCAACTGCCTCCTTAAAAGTTTATTTCATATTTCCTTCCTGGAGTCTCCTGTTCTTCCTACTCCCAAACCTCTAAAAGTGGTCAGTCCCAAACCTACATATTTATCCCTGTCCTCACACAGCTCCCGTTCTTGCTTTAAGGGCCCATGGACATTTTTACTTTAACAGCAACATCAATCAAATGCAGCATAGTCTCAAGAGACCACCATTTTCCCTTTTTTTTTTTTTTTTGAGACGAAGTTTCACTCTTGTTGCCCAGGTGGAGTGCAATGGTACAATCTAGGCTCACTGCAACCTCCACTGCCCGGGTTCAAGATATTCTCCTGCCTCAGCCTCCCAAGTAGCAACAGGTGCCTGAGACCACACCCAGCTAATTTTTTGTATTTTTAGTAGAGACAGGGTTTCACCATGTTGGCCAGTCTGGTCTTGAACTTCTGACCTCAGGTGATTCACCTGCCTTGGCCTCCCAAAGTGCTGGGATTACAAGCGTGAGCCACCACACCCTGCCGAGAGACCATAATTTTCCTTGCCAAACCAGCTCCATATCACGGTCTTCCTATTTTGACTATTCATATTACCATTCTTCTTGTTACGTAAAACTTTGGAGTCATCTTTGACTCAATTCTCTCCATTCTAAATTTAATCATGAGTTTATGTATGTTTCCTATAATGTTTTCAATAAGGGTAATATTTAGTATCTTCACATGAAGATATAAGCTAGCTTGTGTCTTTTTACCTCAGAAAATATGGTCACTATACTCCCTGATTACTTACTTTCTCCTACACTTCCAAAACATCAATAACTACAGCAACTTACCTGTCATTCAGCCTTATGCCAGGCTCTAGGACAAGTGTGGTTTCTAGGCCAGGGACAAGCAGAGAATCAGCCTTAGTTGCTCATGCCCCACTACCTCAGGTCTAGACACTACCTGTACCTGGGTGCTAGGCAGTGCCTACCCCAAATACCTGGAAATTAAATACCTATGAAATTTCTACCATAACTAGAACATATCGGAACAGAAATAGGCAAAGTCATCTTAAGAAAACAGAATGGCTTCCAAACCATCAAAATTTACTACCTAATGACCTAAAGAAATAATATGGTAGAAAACATATTCATTAACCACAGGTACCACCTAGAAAATGAGAGCAACAGACACAAATGTGGGATGTGCCCTTCCCTACCATTCTCCATGGAGGAGCAGCTTTGGTTAACAGACTTTTAGGAGTCCAGTTTACTGACCAGTCCATGTGCAGATGGCAGCATCAGGCCATCACAGTTTGATTCCTCCAACTCCCCCATTCTGACTCCAGGCTCACTGGGCCCCTTCTAAGTGTAATCTGGCTCTTCATTTTGAAAAAGAATGTTTGAGTCTTGCTAAGACAAGCATTCCATCTGTGTGATTGTATTTCTAATGGTAAGCGAATAATTTGGCATTCTGGTTTTATTAGCCTCATGAATGTAGTTAATGTGAGTTCACCCGAGAGAGACGGATCTGCCCTCTGAGTGCTGACAACATCAGACTTCTGAGTTGGCAAAGCTGAGTGACAGACCCTACACCAGACACAGTCAAATTACCAAGGCAACGAATGCCTTACTGTGAGGCCCAAAGGGAGGTGCAATCATATTTTTTTAACCAACCCTGAATGATATTTTCAAATGTTGAAAGTATGGGATAGCATTTATAATCCAAATCGCTTTAAACTAATCATGGGTTATGATCTAAATGATGCAAATTAAGAGACGGACAGTAAAATAACTGTCACTGATATTCATTGTTATCTAGTCATTAAATGAATTACATGTGTTATTTGTATTGTTTTGGAGAGCCAGGGGGAAGAATTCTACCTACATTTTATCTCCACTGCCATTACAAGGATATAAATGAGAGATCCAGGAGACCACTACCTTGTACAGCTTCAATGACAAAGGCCACTAGTGTTATTGGGCAAACTATGGCCAATGGACAGAAAGCTAAAGACATCAATGCTGCGTTTTACCAAAGGGCCAGGTATCCCTTGAGAATCTTCATTCTCCAGAGTGAAGACTTCTAAGGTAGTCTTAGGGGACATTACCCTTCATGTCCAGATTACATTTTACATGGGACTTGATTCTGCTGAAATTATAGCCCCAACACCTAGAAAGGCTTTCTGGGGAACCATCAAGAACATAAAGCAGGAGTTTGAGACTAGCCTGGGCAACATAGTGAGACCCCGTGTCTACAAAAAAAAAAATTAAAAAATTAATCAGGCATGGTAACACTTGTCTGTAGTCCCAGCTACTTGGAAGGCTGAAGCAGGAGGGTCACTTGAGCCCAGGACTGTATATAACTATCCTGTATCTATCTCATTGATCCTGATAAGCCTCCAGTAATACACTTCACCAAGAACAAACTTTGACAAATGGATTAATCCTCCAATCAGTGGCTTGTTTTTTTTTGTTTTTGTTTTTGTTTTTGAGATGGCATCTCTGTTACCCAAGCTGGAGTGCAGTGGCATGATCATAGCTCACTGCAGCCTCAACCTCCTGGGATCAAGTGATCCTCCCACTTCAGCCTCCCAAGTAGCTGGGACTACCGGCGTGCGCTACCATGCCTGATTATTTTTTAAATTTTTTTGTAGACACAGAGTCTCACTCTGTTGCCCAGGCTAGTCTCAAACTCCTGAACTCAAGCAATGCTCCTGCCTTAGCCTCCCAAAGTGCTTGGATTATAGGTGTGAACTACCGTACCTGGCCTGACTTTTTAAAATCTGTACTTACTCCTAGTTTTCAAGTTTTTGATTGGTCATTTCTCTTCCAGTTATTCCTCTACCTACTGGATTTGCCCACTGGTAGCCTTCCATTATTACTAAAACATTCAAAAAAATGGGCAATGAGGGAAGGAGGAATAATGGTAGCATCTAGATTAATCAACTTTAAGTATAGAGTTATGTATAGTCACATCAACCTATCTGGAAAATTTAAAGCCACAAAAAGAGTTGTTTGTGCCACTTATCTTTTCACTTTTATAATAATTAGAATGCTTCCTGTTGTGCTGTATGATTTTAAAATAATCATAGCAAGTCAATAATAGTCATTTAAAATGTAATGAATTGAAGGCTAATCACACACATTCAATCATTCAATAAGCACTTGCTTATCAAATACATTCCATTATTTTCATATTCTGGATTAGTCTGCAAATATCTGGGTTTCTGCCATTTCACGTTTTCATGGAAGACATTGGTCTCAAAGCATCCAAAATAGGACTCATGATCTTCTGGCACATATTTGCTCCTTTTCCTACATTCCCTGTTTCAGGGAATAGAAACACAGTGTACTGAGTAGAACCCAACCTTTGCTTATCGTGACTCCCTCCTTTATCCTCACCCCTCATATCCATTCACTAATTAGTTTGTGTAGATTTGCCTCCTATAATTTATCAAGTCCACCCCTATTCACACTGCTTTCAATGGGGGCACCAAGTCTTGCCTGGAATAACTGCAAGAGCTTCACACTGATATCTCCTTCCGTGAATCTCACCTCCTTCCTCTCTCCTCCACATCACTACCAGAGTCATCTTTCTGAAATTCAAATCTAACTAGCTCACTCCCAAGCTGATCTTTGTATTTGTTTCAGCTTAATTCAATTCACAGGTATTGTGATAGGAAGTAGAAAATAATGGTCAAAATTCATTGCATAGAATACAAGGTTTTTTTTGTTTTGTTTTGTTGTTGTTGTTGTTGTTGTTGTTGTTTGAGACCGAGTCTCGCTGTCGCCCAGGCTGGAGTGCAGTGGCGGGCTCTCGGCTCACTGCAGGCTCCGCCCCCTGGGGTTCACGCCATTCTCCTGCCTCAGCCTGCCGCGTAGCTGGGACTACAGGCGCCCGCCACCTCGCCCGGCTAATTTTTTGTATTTTTAGTAGAGACGGGGTTTCACCGTGTTAGCCAGGATGGTCTCGATCTCCTGACCTCGTGATCCGCCCGCCTCGGCCTCCCAAAGTGCTGGGATTACAGGCGTGAGCCACCGTGCCCGGCCACAAACTTTTAATAACTTCTCAAAATATAGCTTTTCAACCTCATTTCCTGTATAGGACTACCTCTGTCCAGTCACAACAGCCTGTATAGATTTCCCTATGGTATTTCTGCCTCTGTGCCTGGAATGTCCTTCTCCACTTTATCTACCTGCTTAGTTCTTCCTCATTCTTCAAGACTTAAAGGGTTCCTTGCTCTTGACATCCACTCCTGAGCCTCCACAGTGCAACTGGTAGCCCAGCTCTATGCCACCAGAATATCCTCTACCTACCTCTTCCACAGCATTCATCACACTAGTTGCAACTGTTGCTTTGCACATATTTCTGCCTCCATTCCTGTTCCTCCCCACACTCAGACTGGGAGATCCTAGATGGCAGATACCATGTCTAGCTCATCTGTGATCTCCACCACCCTGCTTAGTGGCTGTGGTATAGTGGTACTCAATAAATACGCACTGAGTGACTAGATGATAGGGAAGATTCTACAGAAGTTGTGCCATGGGTTACATAATTGGAGATATAGAATAAATAAATTTAGAGAAAAGTATAAATTGGAAGGTCTTCTTAAGGGGTATAAATTAAGTATTGGAGAGATTAAGTAAGCCCTAGAGAAGTTTTGGAGAACATTAGTCAAGTGACATCAGTGTATGACTGTGAGGACAAAAGAACATGTGTCCAGTCTACTTAGTTGCCACTGTGGCTAGTGAGACTCAAAGATGACACACCCCATTGGTGTTATAAAACCAGATTCAACCTCCAGGGTCCTCATAAAAAAAGGTATTGTATAAATACAAGATTTTCTCTTTTCTCTCATATAACAACAGACCAGTTGAAAGCTTGAATCCTAAACATGTTTTTAGATTAATCGGTTTCCTATTCATTATTACATTTTAATCAATCTTTTTTTAAATTTTCATTTTAATGGAGAAAATGTTTTCATTTTAATGTATAGGATGTGTCTGTTTCTAAACTACTATCGTATACCAAAGGAATTACTTTTTATAATTTAGTTTTACTGAGAAGATAAAAGATTAAAGAAAACTGTCCTTTTCCTTTGACATAAGTCTGCTGTGGACATACAAAAAACACAGTCTTAGAGGGCAAAAATAATCATTTTTTCAGTTACAAGATTACCATCTATTATATCATGATTAAGACTTTAAACCATAATTTAATGGAGAATTGCCATACTCAGACATTATGATTCTTAAATATATAGGCAACAAATCACCAAATCAATGTTTTCTTAAATCTTATTTGAATATTTTACATATTGGCATTTTGATATATTTTATTGAAATTGTTATTGTTAAAATGTTTTCTAGAACTTCCATTTTCTCCTATTGATGTAGAATCAGGAGGGGAAATTAATAACAATAATTAACTTTATAAGGATACCAATAGTTAAAAAGGAAATAAAAGCAGCATGCCTCTTTCATATGTTGAAACATGACAGAATGTTTAGTTGTTATTTTAATTAGTATGTACTTAATCCAAGTATAAGAAATTTCATGGAAATGCTCCAAATTAAGTCATGGTAATAGCTAAGAAGAGTAAAAAGAAATTTAAAGTATTTTTTACATAC
The DNA here is from genome assembly GCF_000001405.40 of Homo sapiens. Taxonomy (NCBI): domain Eukaryota; kingdom Metazoa; phylum Chordata; class Mammalia; order Primates; family Hominidae; genus Homo; species Homo sapiens. The sequence goes on along the minus strand of NC_000014.9, from coordinate 32,987,782 downwards.
AATAATTTAATGTAAGTCTTGTAAATTCATAAAATTATACTGTCTAAAATAAAAGCAAAGATTTGGTCTTTAAAATTTACACTTTTAAGTTTGTAATTTTTATAGAATATATAATTGTATGCTGTCCAATTGTTGTTACTGTCATCAATTATTATCATTTGTTTTATAAAGACCACAGCACATTTTCTATTTCAAGAAAAATGCTATATTACTAATTTTCAAAATCCAATTCCAATGTTGGTATCTTTCTAATCACTGGAAATAAAAAATAAGAAAACTTGTGTAAAGGTCTGAAACTAACTGCTTTCAGGGATCATCCTTAATTTTTTAATCCATCCTGGAAAATGTAACATTTTTTTCAAGCAGCTGATGCTTTCAAACATGCAGGACTGGGCTGAGCATTCCTTCATCCTGATGTCATGGACCAGCATTTGTCTCAGAAGACATCTTTTGTAGTTGTAACCAAAAGGCAAAAGAAATCAGAGCTGTGAACAGGGAGAGAGAGGGAGAGAAGGGAAATTGCTAAGACCAATTCACTAAAAAAAAAAAAAAAAAATTCTGACACAAACTTGTGTATTTTTAGTCACTCAATGTGCATACTTTAAAATAAAGCCTTCCGACTTTTATAAGGTATTGTGCTTATTTTCACACTATTGGTTTAAAAATACTCTCTGCTCTATGGTAATGTGTCACAGGGAAGTTAGCTATAGTTTCATGAAAGACGTTTTCATCCCTGACTGGCATCTTCTCAATAGCTGGGGCCCAGGCACACCGCTCTCTTCCCGGCAAAGCCCTCTGCACTGAAAACAGTGCAGCATTCATAACTTATTCTCAGCACCGCGGGGCAGCGCCACAGAAAAGCTTCTCCAGCCTAATGGGTTACATCACTGAAAAGTCTTCCATTTGGCCTAGGTGAAAAACATGAATGCATGCCTCATTCATTTCTCCACCTTAAAAAAAATAAAGTAAAATCATATCCATCCTTAGCTAAAGACCTGCATTCCCACAGCCCAGCTCAATCAAAGCTACAACGCTGCTGTTAACTAAATGTTATGCAGTGGAACTGCTAACTTTTTTAACTACTACCACTAACCTTCAAAATAATTTTTACAATTATGCCACTATTAAAAATGTAGAATGAGACACCGAAAATAACTTTAAATTTTAATAGAAAAGTCTTTGATTGGAGTTAGCATTGCCTTTAGATTTAGGTCACATTTTAAAACATACTTGACATATAGTAATGGAATCAAAACCTCACCCTCCCCACTGACATCAACACACAAAAACCCATGCACACAGAGGTTTCCCTTTCTCCTTCTCCATACTTTTCCTGATAGTCAAAGGAAATCAGCTGTGTCCAACTCTTTCAGAATGTGTCAAAATGTCCATGGTTCCTTGGAAGGAAGGCACCCAGTAGACTATCCAAAATATTTTAAATTAAAGAGACTATACTTCCCTTTCTCCTCATTAAAATACGCTGAATCATAATGAATGACATGAGAACATTCCCACCCTGTTCTCAAAACACAAGCTAAAGTGTGAACACAGGTCACACTTGGAGGGAAATGGAACCAGTTTTCATATTCTCTCCTCTAAATCATACAAATCAGAGTGAGAAACTTAAAGCTAGAGCCCCAGCCATGATTTCTAAAATGATGCAACACATCCAAAACCACAGCTGCACACAGACGGTTCAAGAGGCACACAGTGTTCTCCTGCACGGAGAGTTCAGAATCCTCACAGCGGCGCCCATGTGGACTCTCAGGGCTGTAGTGACAATGGCTGCAGCCCCATGTCCTTACTGCTGTCTGTCTGAATGACACGGGGAAGCCATGTCAATTATGAAGAATCGTGGACCTTATGACTAACGACTCACTCAAAGCCATTTATATCCTTGATCGTGTAAATCCATCCTCGCTCACCAAGCCATGACATGACAGAACTTTATAGCTTCTTCTAAGCTATTTCCTTGCATTATGGAGAATCAGGCTGCTGCCATCCATGTTGAGAATGTGAATCCTAAACATCCTTGTTAAATACAGAAATCAACTCTTTGCACTCCTACAGGCCTGAAATCTTTTTTTCTGCTTTCTTTTCCCTTCCATGGTGTATCTTTTCTTATGAGTTTGTTGATTTTTGTGTTTTGTTTTGTTTTTTAAACATAATACCTAGCTGGCATACATTAAGAAAAATCTTCCCTAGTAAGTCTGCACTGAAAATTCCAAAAGGAGCTAAATTTCTTTACTAGACATGTATTTTTGGCATTAGATAAATTATTTACAGAAAACAAGCAGAAATATTAATTCTTGAAACACTAAAAGTTCCCATTTGCAAGAGAATAGCCTAACAACAAGGCTGAGTATTTTAATAACCAAAGGTCCCCTCCCTGTGTTATTTGGATAATTAAAATTTTTGTGTACTATAGATTTCTGACTTTTCAAAAATGTTCCATAGCCTCTAAATTGTGTAGCTGCACCTCTCTCCTTCAACACACACGAGCCCTACCTAAATTAAAAATGAGACACCAGCATACATAAAGACCACAGTCACCAAGCCCATTGGTAGGATTACTTTCTTTGTTTACCATTTTCTGTATCAATATATATGAATTCCTTGTTATCTGACTATAAGCACATCAAGCTGAGACAATGTTCTGATGTCCATATCATATGGCCCCCATGAATATCAACAAATAATCATTACCACAATTTAAAGAACTCCCAGTATGAAAGAATACATATAATTTGGCTCTCAAATTATGTATATTTTTATGCACATTATACCCAGGACTTAATTAGTTTGCAACATAGATATCAAGTCAGAAAAATCCCCACTGATGCAATTGTCCTTAGCAATTAAATCAAATACTGAGCTTTTAGAACACAGGAATGACTACACTGGAGCTGTAGACTTGGTGGCCATTCCCCCACAAACTCTTTTAGAAGACAGGGCAAAAATTCACAGAATATTCACATGACTAAGGATAATTAAAGTCAACCATTTCCACCCTACAAAAGAAAATGGAGCTTCTGTTAAGAATGAACAATAAAGACATTATTTCGGTTCCACTGTGTTTTTTTAAGGAGTTTCCATCTCTAAAAAACACATACAAACACAATAGTATTCCTGCTATCTCAATGTCATCCAATTCACTGATAATGTTGTTGGAAAGAATTTTGTGAATACCAAAGAAAAAACTGCTTTAAAATTATTTCCATTCAAAATACAGCACAAGAAAGGCTTATAGAGAACTGAAGCATAAGTATTTAGTTACTCAACTTAGCCACATCTCCAAAGACTCATAAAACAAAATGTTGATGAAAAACCAGATCTCTGTTACAGTTCATCTCTTTCCCTCTTACTTTTTTTCCCAAAGTAAGTTTGTATTTACGTAACCCTATTTGAGCATTTTCACCTTACAGAAGCACTAAAAATGTGGCAAGATTTATATAAGCACATTGCTCCAATCTAAGTGGAAGATCCTTGAAGAACAGCTGGAGAAAAAACCCTTGCTCTGCTTCTAACTCCATACAAAATTCTAAGATACAGCAGGGATTAAAACCAAACAAAATAAGATTGAGGCACTATAACAGGTCAGGGTTGCATCTAAAGATTGGCAACTCTCTTTCACAACATGGGAAACCATATAATGTGTTACATATACTGAATCTAGTCAGTTAAACTTCACTTTACCACACTGTATTAAATGACTTCTCTTCTAAATAAGTTTTTCTGTACAATACTTAATAATTCTATTTGGCCGGGTGCAGTGCCTCACACCTGTAATCCCAGCACTTTGGGAGGCCAAGGTGGGCAGATCACTCGAGGTCAGGAGTTCGAGACCAGCCTGGCCAACATGGCAAAACCCCATCTCTACTAAACACACAAAAATTAGTCAGGCTTGGTGGCACATGCCTGTAGTCCCAGCTACTCAGGAGGTTGAGGCAGGAGAATTGCTTGAATCTGGGAGGTGGAAGTTGCAATGAGCCAAGATCATGCCACTGCACTACAGCCTGGGTGAAAGAGCAAGACTCCATTTAAAAAATATATAATAATAATAATAATTCTATTTCATTAAATATGTGTTATAAATTGCATGAATATAGTGCAGCATCACTAATATATAGCCATTATTGACACGGAAGGGAAACCACACAAATCACACAGTTTCAGCCAAAGATTTAAATTTATACTGTTTGGCAAAAACTTTTAGAATGAATACTGGTGTATATTATTTTTTCATCTATAAAGGGAAATTTTGCACTTAATATTATTGTTAGAGGAACAAAAATGAGTGGAAACCTACAATGACAGATGAAAGTGTTTATCTCAAAAATAAATAATTTAATACAAGTGAGTGCCCTGCCCTGAATAGTGGGAATGTAAACAGGTTATTTAATGTACTAAATCATTCCATCAATATAAAGCATGCATATACATATGCATGCACACATACACAATTTGGTGAAGTAAGAAGTGGGAGAATTTTTATAGTCTAAAGAAAAATACAAAATTTCACAAGGACATATTTTTCAGGGATGTAAACCCTACAAAATACTCTAATAAAGACAGAACTTGAAGATTTTTTTAAAATAGTCTTTAATGGGGCATATATTCATTATTATTACTAGTTGAAGGCGGTGAAAATACCCCTTGATACCTTTGTATGATGGCAATATGCTACTCAAACATCTACAGTTTTTAGTATTGAAATAGGTTTTTCTTCTCTAATTATACCTAACAAACTTTTTTTTCCTTTCATCTTCACTTAAGATAACTTATAATTGCATGCCATGCTATAAACTGTTACAACTGGCCAAATCAGACACACTTCATTTCTGCTGTAGCCTCAAACTTTTAAATTATTCCTATCATTACAGAACAATAAGCAAAACTGCAAGTTACCTACAGCTTTATTTTGGCCAATAGTTTTAACTCCGCCTCCACCATCTGAGTGATATTAGCAACCGGGGAAATTGAGTGATACGGGTTTTACCTTCCTTCTGTTCCTTTATCCTACAGTTAGCAATAAAATGCCTATTGACTGGTTCATATAATGCAGTGGACAGATGCAAGGGACCATGCTGAAGATAAGTGTATTGAATTTAGGAACTAATTGAATTTGAGAAGGAAGAAGTTGTCTCAAGTCTTGAACATTTATAACAGAAGTAAGAGCATGGACTAAAAGGTCAGTCATTTAAGTAGTGCAGATAGAGATTTTTTTTTTCTTTTCGTAGAGATGAGATCTCACTATGTTGCCCAGGTTGGTCTCAAACTCCTGGGCTCAAGCAATCCTCCTGCCTCTGCCTCCCTAAGTGCTGGGATTACAGGCATGAGCCACTGTGTTTGGTAAGATACTATTGTAAGGGATATCTTATTTTGGAATTTGAAAATGCTATGGTTTGAACATGTTTCACAAAATGCATGTGTTGGAAACTTAATCCCCAGTACAACAGTGTTGGGAGGTGGGGCCTAATAGGAGGTGTTTAGGCCATCAGGGCTCCATCTTCAAGAATGGATTAATGCTGATTATTAAAGGGTATGAAACTGCAAGTTTGATCTCTTCTTCTCTCAAGCTCTCTTGCCCTTCCATCTTCTATCATGAAATCACGCCGTAAAGAAGTCCCTCATGAAATGCCAGCACCTTGATATTGGACTTTCCAGACTCCAGGAGTATGAGAATTAAATTTCTCTTCTTTATAGATTACCCAGTCTGTGGTATTCTGCTATAGCAACATAAAACTAAGACAGAGTTCCTGGTAAGATATCTTGAGAGAGGAGTTCATCAGACAGTTTGAAAGATTAAGCAGAAAATAAGGCAAGAAATGGGAAGAAGAGATGAAAAGGAATGGGCCATCAGCAGAGCTGCTATTTGACACCCTAAGAGTGGATGAGATCATCTAGCAAGGAAGCCTAAAGGGAAAAGAAAACGGCCTGGATTATTTCCATTTGTGCAATTAAGAGTTGAGTGTGCATTGGTTCTGTCCATCAAGATAGTATGCTGTTGGAGTTCCTCTCACCCCCCGCTCCACACCACCCCAAGATGAAGCAGGACTTGTGCTGCCGTAAGAAAACTCGAGACACATCTATGTGATACATTAAGGAATCTTTTTCGGCTTGACAAAAAGACTCAACAGAGATTTATTTTTAAATAGTCAACTTTCTGAGTATTTTTCTAATCAAAAGAACATGTTATTTTTTAGTAAGAATAAAAATAAAGTCTGAACATTTTAATGTGAAATATAATTGATAAAGTTCCTCAGCAAAACATTTATTGCATAAAGATACAACTGTGCTTAATACGTAGCTTGTTAAAAAATAATTAAATGGCTACCATATTTTACTCCAGAGGTAGATTCATTTCATTTCTATATTGGACTCAAAGATCACTGTCTATAAAGTAGTCTCAAGATGCATGTTCCATTTACAAAAGCCCTTCAGATGAAAGATGTTTTTGCAAATGCAAAATATGAATTATTGTCATCATCATCATTTTTATTGTGCTAGGCATGTGAATGGATTTTGCATCTGGTGGCTGGGTTAAAATCTAAATTCCTAAAGCAATACTGTAATACTTTGAACCATAGTGACATCCAAGAGGGATAATGACTTTCTGATGAAGTGAGCAGCTCCTCCATGGTATGAGGAGAAATGCCAAACCTGGAACCAGGTGCAAACTCACTGCTAACTCCTGGCTGAAAGTGGATAATAAATGGCTGCAGGCATTTCCGAGTTCTTCTGTGTGAGCCTCTAACAGCAAGAACCACTGGAGGTCACAGTGCTGAGGAGTCTAACAATTTGAAAGATATATGTGTGTGTGTGTATGTGTGTGTGTATGCGTGTGTGGGTGTATATATAGCTAAAAAATTAAACTGAAATACTCTTTTCTAAATACCTTATACAACATAAGTGGCCTGTATCATCTTTCAAGACAGAGTATCAGTTTATTTCAAATTTAGAGATACTGGCCTCGATTCAAATTCATGGCAGTTATAGAAACCAATGTTCCGTGACTTGATTCAGGTGGCAAGCATTAAATCTTCTTCCGGCTGTCATGCAACAACAACTTTAATACAAATTAGTACTGCCAAACTCAGTTTCCTGGACTCAGAGGTCCTTGATGCTACTCCATGAATTTTATTCAGACTTTCACATGAACTGTATGTTTTTTAAAATGGTAGCGTCCAAGAAGAAAAACATAAGTAAAGTATAATTTAATTATTCCAAATTCAATATTCTAATTTACAGCTCATTACAAAAAAATTAATATCCCCTTTTGTTATTTTGATTAATATGAAACAATCATTACATCATACAGGAGAAGGTTCTCATGCAAATTCCATTTCTATAACTGCACTCTCTGTTTAAGCTGTTTACATTGAACAGAGACATGTCAATCAATAGTAATTCAAAAATGTAGTGCGTTAGTACCTCATGGTTTCTAAGTCAAACCTTTTCAAAGCTCAAAACCCTGGGAACAACCGACCAAAATAAGAGAGCCACCTCTTTTCACTAGACAGAAAAATTCAATTACCTCTGAACCTGACACCCCAAACAACTTTGGAATGACTTCCAGGAAGGAAAGATCTGTCTGGGAAACAACATTTCAAGGTAGGAACCAATTCTTCTTGTTTCTTACATTAGTTTTTAATTAAGACACACAAGAGGAAATGTACTAGTTAGTTTTAGCTCCCCGGTCTGGATATGTGATATGTTCAAAATCATGATTCTCTGGCAAAATTTTAACACTCATAGGAAGTCTATCTAGCTGCTTTAGAATTCATAATAATGTCATTTCTTTTCTTCGCAACAAAAGTTTTTGACAAGTCAATTGACATAATCCTAAAACTAAGTGACCTCCCAGTTTTGTAGCTGATTTTACTTAATAACCACTTCAAGACCCACAAAATGGGCAATGTAACACAAAAATAACCTAATTTCAAACTTTGGCCAAGTGGTTTTACTCCTTTGTGATCTTGGAAATACAGAATTCAGTATTTTTAGACTGATCATTACAAGAAAAAAAGTGAAAATTTCAAAACCAAAGAGAAGTTTGGGAAAATGTTCTTTCTTTAAATATTCATTGTAATATGATGCATTTAAATCCCTCAACAGGGCAAATAAGGACTCTACTATATTGCAGCCCTCAGGCCCAAAGAAAGAGATGCTACAATCATGGCCCACATATGTGTATGGCCCTTTTAAATGGACTTAGAGTTTGTAAAGTACAGAACAGTGGCTTCAGACAGACACTTGCTATTACTACCGATGTGACCTTACACTGATACCTTCATTCCCCGAGACCTGGTGTTTGAAATTGTAAAATGAGAATACTGCTACCTACCACAAAGGATTTTTTCCAATTATTAAATGAGATAGTGTGTCTAATTCAGTGGTGCATAGAATACACACTAAGTAACTGTAAATTCTAAATCTTATTTAAATTTTACAGCAATCAGTGAAGTAGGTAGTAGTAATAGCCCTATTTTATATAATAAGACCCAGAGAGCTCAATTTGTTTGAAGGCATAGAGGTTTTAAGCAGCAGAGTCAAGAGTTATCTTTTAAAGATAAAACACAATAATCAGAATAATAACTATTAAAATAAAGCATTTCTTGTATACCTCCAGTGTGGCAGGTACTGCACTAAGCTCTTTAACATGTTATACAATTTAATCCTCTTAAGAATACTATGAGATTCACACTATTATCCCCATTTTATAGATAAGGAAAACTGAGGCTCACAATGGTTGAGCAACTTTAAATTACTCAACAGTTATTTTTTGAGCCCTTACGATGTCCCAGATATGGGAGATACAAACACAAGCAGACAGATGAGATTCCTGACCTCTCGACTCTAAAAACATCACACCTAAGACATCTTCAAAGGGTGTCACCTTAGAGACGAAGGAAAATATCAGCCTGAAACTGCAAGTAGTCATTATCTGACACTGTCATAAGGGAGAGAGCAACCAACCACTTGAAGACCTTTCTCGCCAATCCATTCAGTGTTTCTCTAATACACAAAGCAATGATCATTTCCATTTCTGAAAGGAGTAAACTGAGATGCAGAAATACTAATAATCTTGGATCAAAGGACTGAAAACAGTTTCCTCAGTGAAAATAAAACGTTTTGGAGAGAATGGAACCTAGACACCTAGTGAGCCCCACAAGTGACAGAGACCCAGTTTCCTCCAAAGAGTCTAGATGGCCCTCCTTCCACCTAGCTTCCTAGCTCCCCAATCCACAAAAAAAAAACTGCTAATATTTATAAATACACAAACCCCATAACCCCTTCCAGCTTGCTGTGCTCAAGACAGAAGTTCCCAGCCAGTACTACCATTTTGCAGAACTCTGGAGGACTCTATTCACGCAAAATACAAGTGAAATGATGCTCTCTGAGTTGTATGTGGATGGCCCTTCTCCCAGTTGTGTTTGGGCTTCTCCTTTGGGGTAGGGTAGGCTGTGTTTGTTTTCCCCAAAGAGGTCTGTCCCCATCCCAACTCCCAATCTTACAAATGAGCCAACCCTCCAGTCACAGCAGAAAGGCAGATACTAAGAAGCAGAATACATACACATAGCTAAAAACTAGACCCTTGATATTTGGAGTCCTGCCTCTTCTCCAGCTTACTAGCTGAGTGACTGAAGGCAAGTTTTCTCACCCCCCCACATCTTCACTTCCTCATTTGTAAAGTGAAATAATAATGAGAGCACTTGCCTCACAGGGTTATTGCAAGGATTAAATGAGATAATAAACTGGCTTGCACAGTGTCACGCACATGTAGGCTCAATCAATATTATTAGTAGTAGCTATATTTATTATCATTTTAAGTCCAACTTTGCCGGTCCTCTTCAAATTACCCAGACCTATGCAACAATAATGCTGATAAATATCAGTAATAAATAGCATTAAAAGATGATTTTTAAAATAAGAAACCAAAATAGATTTCAGATCTTCAGACACTGCTTGTGCTATGTGGCTACTAAAATATTAACAATATTGAGAGAAACTGCTGAAGTTTTTCAAATGAGAAATTTATTTATTTACTTAGAGACAGTGTCTTGCTGTCACCCAGGCTGGAGCGCAGTGGTGCAATCACGGTTCACTGCAGCCTCAACCTCCTGGGCTCAAGTGATCCTCCCGCCTCCACCTCCTGAACAGCTGGGACTATAGATGCACACCACCATGCCCAGTTAATTTTTTTGTTTTCAGTAGAGACACGGTCTTTCTATGTTGCCCAGATTGATCTCAAACTCCTGGGCTCAAGAAATCCACCCACCTCAGCCCCTCAAAGTGCTGGGATTATAAGGGTGAGCCACTATGCCCAGCCTTAAACCAGAAATTGCACATGTGCTTTTTCTCCTTTATTTACAATTCCATTAAATAAATAGATTAGGGGTGTGTGTGTGTGTGTGTGTGTGTGCGTGTCAGAGACAAAACTCGTAGAAAGGTAATAACGGCCTTATGTCCAGAAATACTGACTAGAAGAACCTAGATAAAAAGACATGGCATCTTTGGATCCTATAGACTATTTTAAATAATAAAAAATATGAGTAGGCAAAGTCTTGATGCCAGCTCCAAAATACGGAAAATGAAAGTTTACCTATGGGACTATATTCATAATTATAGTGACAAATCAGTGTTTTTAGTTGTTGCAATCTAAAAGTATCTTTTAAAAATAATGTTATGCCGTTAAAAACGTGTGTGTGTATGTGTGTGTGTGTGTGTGTGTTACCTTGACCAGATAATACTTTATAGGAAAGGGTCCTGTGTGAACAGAAGGGTTTATTAAATCAAGTTTTAAAGACAGAGAATGAGTAAACTCTCTAGAAAATCCACATTTATTTATATCCACTTTTGGGCCACTGAGTCACCGTTACTAGAAGGTAAGTCTATTCACAGCTGAAGCGAGGGCCAGAACCTGAGAGACTGAAGTTACCTTGATTCTTCTGATTTCTCAGTAGGAGTTTGTTCAAATAAAGGTGTTAAGTCAGATAACTAACCTTAGCACACAGATACTTCTACTTGCCTTTAATTGCAAACTCTTTTTGTCCTCAATCTTTTGCTGTGCTCTGTGTGTATGCATACAGTAGTAAAAGAAGCACTGGCTAATGTTGATACCTAAATGAAAAACAACTAAGGAACAATAAACTCTTGCAGACAGCTGGAAAGAGATATGGATTTTGGCCTTGTAAATCGTTTAAAGCAGCGTCCTCCAAACTTCTTTGATCATGCACCGCTATCAGTAAGACATTTTCTAGAACAGGCCTCTAATACATGTGTACCACTCCATTTCTAAAGTACGAATATATAAAACTGTACTGATACAGCATGTGTGTGACAAAACACAAATAAAAAATAAATTTTACATGGCAAAGTCAAAAATAAATATAAACAGAAGTTTCATTATTTCCTTTCTGAATCAAAATGAGTCTCCCTACAAACCACCTGGAGTATTCACAACGCACTTCAGAGACCTCAGATTTCAGAGACCAGAGGAGGTGAGACACACTGAGGCCTAGTGCGAGAGCCGTCTTCCTAACTGTCCCCACCACCTCGCTCACTGGCTGCAGGAGTGCTTCTTAAAGTGGAGTCCAGGGGTCACCTGCAACAGAATTGTTTGGAGTACCTTTAGATTCCCAATCTCCACTCTTGCCCGACTTAATAAATCAGCAGGCCTGTAAGACTTCATGTTTATCAAGCTCCCTGAAGGATTTTCACACACACTCATGTTTAAAAGCCACTGATGTATAACAATCACAAGGAGCTGATTGTCTTTGCTCTGTCATAGTTGTGGTCCCCAAGGAGGCCAGAGGAAGAAAAAGTCTAAGGTTAGGGTGGTTCAGGTAAAATGCATGCGTGTCTGCAAACTCTCTCTCTCTCACACACACACACACACACACACACACACACACACACGCCCCTCACCACCAACAATCACAAATTACCAAGGAAGAAAATTACCTTTAAGAGGTAGAAATGCTGTAAAACATGCAGAGCTGTTTGTTGCTGTTGTTTTGTTTTGTTTTATTAACTACCAGAGCTATCAATCCTTCATGATCTGTTGGACTATAAAGCACTTCATATTCCTCTACTAAAACATGTATTCAAAACTGATGTAAGATTAATTAAAAAAACTGTGAGCAACTTTTGCTCAATCACACTGGTCTAATGATTTAAAGATAGCAAAGATGTTTCCTTATAAATCTCCTTTGTTGGCAACATCAACAAAGGTGACAATGACCATTTGAAAGGAATAACAGAAACAAGTCCCTTCTAGAAACTGAAAGGAGTCAGGCACAGTAGTTCACATCTGTGATGGCTCATGCTATTCAGGAGGCTGAGGCAGGAGGACTGCTTGAGTCCAGAAGTTCAAGGCTACAGTGAGCTATAATGGTGCCAGTGCACTCCAGCCTGGGCAATAGAGTGAGACTCAGTCTAAAAAGGGAAGGAGGCAGGGAGTGACGGAGGCAGGGAGGGAGGGAGGGAAGGAATAGAAGGGCAGACAAAGAAAAAAAACAACCATACTTTCTCAAATGGAGACAAGAAATCAGCCAACTGTTAATGCAAGTTCTCTGTGCTGGTAGTATTAAAAGACTTGATCTGTAAGTGACAGGTTCTCTATTCAGATATCCATCTCTATGATTAAAGGAGTCTTTAATCATTCAAGTGCTTGTTGTAGACTTTTATGTCACACTTTCACTAGTATGGTACTCTGTAAAACTATTCAACTAATAGCATCCACTAATATAGACAAATCTAAAGATCATGATTGATTACCCACTAAATTCTGACAGACTACTTTATTAATCAGATACTCTATATTTATTCTCAGTAGTAACAATAAAGAAAAACCTTTCATTTGTTCTTTTCTGCTTGTGATTTGTTTTTGTTTGATACTGATATTTTTAGACCTTTCTAGTATAGTCTGGATGCTACCATGATAATTAAAGGTAGGCATGTGGCTCTGTTCTGACCAATGAGATGTAAAGAGAAGTCAGCTTGGGGCTTCTGAGAAAGACTTTGCTTTTCTGATAAAAAGTAAGAAAGTGGCTGGACCTCCAGGTACCCTCACCCTTCCTGCCTTGAGAGCAGACATGATAGAGCTGAGGTATCCATGTGAAAGAGACTAAGAGAACCAACAGAGACATTAGCTCTGTCTTTGTTTGGTTGTTAAACCAATGTCAACAGTCACCCACCTCTATACTTCTAATTATTTGAAAAAAAAATAACTAATCTTTGTTTAAGCTACTACTGGCCAATTTTTCTGATTATCTGCAGTGGAAAGCAGCCCTTGCTGGTACATACCTTCTTTTCCTTCATCACATTTCCAAATTCAAATTCAGATATCACCAAACACCTCAACTATCCTTACACTCTGCTGAACTACAAAAGCATTATCTGTAACTTAGCTGTGGCCATCTTCATGTTTTTGTGTGTTATTATTATCACCATTTTTCCAATGGAAAGCAAACTCCTTGAGGATGGAGTTTCTGTTTCATTCATCTTCCTTCCTCACAGAGCACTCAGCACAGTGACTAGCAATCTTAAGTGTTCAACTAAATATTTATGAATGAATTGATAATAAAGAATAACTTCTTTTGTCACTTAGATGACAGTAATCAAACTCACAGTTCTCCTCATGTAAATGACCTCTGGAAGGTTCTCTTTCTACACTCTGTAGAGCCATTCATGTACTAATTCCTCATTATTAACTGACCACTTACTGTGTGCAAGGCAATATCCTATATATCAAAGGAACAGAAATCCATTTAATACAGTTCTTGACTTCAAATCGTTTCTAGAAAATATAGTTTTATACAGAAAATGAAAATATATTCACTAAAGTTATGCCTTATGGCCTATTTCAGATGTCAGCCCTTGAAATAGTTACTTAAACTAGGCTTCCTTGTGATAGAAATGACATTCAAAATTCAAAATATGGCCAGGCATGGTGGCTTACACCTGTAATCCCAGCACTCTGGGAGGCCGTGGCAGGCAGATCACTTGAGCTCAGGAGTTTGAGACCAGCCTGGCCAACATGGCTAAACCCCATCTCTATTAAAAATACAAAAAATTATCCGGGCGTGGTAGCATGCACCTGTAATCCCAGCTACTCAGGAGGCTGAGGCTGGAGAACTGTTTGAACTCGGGAAGGGGAGGTTGCAGTGAGCCAAGATAGCATCATTGCATTCCACCCTGGGCAACAGAGCAAAACTCTGTCTTAAAAAAAAAAAAAAAAAAAATCAAAATATACTCATAGAACTATAAACAGAATTGCATTTACAAGCAATTCCAAACTTACTAACAAAATTCTGAAAGTACATTTTTAGATGAAACTTGGAACACTGTTTTCAAACAAATGACTTTTTAGATTGTAGTTAGGTGTCTGATCAGCCCCAGATGCCTGTTTAACCTTAACATGGCAGAATAATGGACCATGTATTCCCAGAATAAAGACTAAGTCAGTGAAAAGGAAATTTTAAAAAAATTAATAAGAGACAAAAACCCCATACTACCCCACTCCTTGTTTGGGCTTGGTGTTAGCTCAAGGCAAAATCTCCAAACAGATGAATGTGTGCTTAGAATGTCTCTTTTATGTAGAGTCTTCTCTTTCTTAGATACTAAGCTGAAAGTGCCTTTATTCAAATCTTAATCACCATTCCCATTCTCTAGATGACAAAGCCCCACCACCACCAAAATCATTTTCCCCACCCTAACAGTCAATGCAAAACTCTCTTTACCTCAGATATAAGAAAGAAGGCAATGTGACCAAACTAATCTGCAAGAATGCCTTCCAGCAGTATCTACCTTGTAAAAACAGCATATGTGCTAACCATTAAAATGAGCTGAGTATTTCAGGTACAGTAGCGGTTGTCCATTGTGTGTGTGAGAGAGGGTGCTTTTTTGTGAGTAATCCTGAAATGAATGGAATCTGAGGGTAAACTATCCTATTCCAATCCTTCTATCACTTCTATCCATTTCCAGTTCCTGAACTCCCGGTTCTTGATGACTCTTCTAACAAAATGTATTTTGTTCAACAAAGAAATATGAAGGATCTACTCTGTGACAAAGTGTTTCTCTTTTCCCCCCTCCTACAGTAGGTTCCACAGCAGACAAAGCAAAGATTTTAATAAGAGGGAGAGCAATGGGTGAGCAGGGGCAACCTGCTGGATTCAGCATGGGTCATTTTAAATTTGGCAACCATCTGTACTTACAGCACTGAAGACTTTAATTAAAACAAAAATGTGATTTCAAGGAATTTAGTTTAACTAGTCTTTTATGCTGCAGAATTTGGCAAAAGTTGTGTGTGCATGTGCATGTGTGTGTATTTTATATTGAGCAAACTTGATTTTATGAATCTTCAAAAATAGAACAGACATGAATTATTTTCAATATTTTTTAAACTAAATCTTACATTCATTCCTTAATAAGGCTTAACAGGGTCACTAAAACATCAAGTTTCTTTGCTTTTAATGAGTATTGTACCGGCAATGTTTTACTACACAGGATAACTCAGGCTGATCAAGAGTCCCACTGATGGCCAGGCGCGGTGGCTCACGCCTGTAATCCCAGCACTTTGGGAGGCTGAGGTGGGCAGATCATGAGGTCAGGAGATTGAGCCCATCCTGGCTAACATGGTGAAACTCTGTCTCCACTAAAAATACAAAGAATTAGCCAGGCGTGGTGGCGAGCGCCTGTAGTCCCAGCTACTCGGGAGGCTGAGGCAAGAGAATGGCGTGAACCCAGGAGGTGGAGCTTGCAGTGAGCCAAGATTGCGCCACTGCACTCCTGCCTGGTCGAAGAGTGAGACTCCATCTCAAAAAAAAAAAAAAAAAAAAAGAGTCCCACTGATTTAATAGATATCTGTCACTTCTCAATAAAGAATGACAAGACTTTAACCTATCTTAATAAATGCTGTTTACCAGATTAAAATATTTCAAAATGGATGTAGAAGGAACATGCTAATTTGAGCTCTTAGTAATAAACCGTTTGGAGACCATGATTATGGATTTTGTTACAATATGAATACATTGCAGAAATAAAACACATTCTGGAAAAGTATACTATATATGGATATTAGTCCTCAACTGAGGAGGTAGTATCTAAGCATAAAAAAATTAAAATGTGATCCAAAATGGAGCTCACAAAACATCACTTCTACTATTATGCCTGCTGAAAGCTATCAGTATTATTTTAAAGTTATTTATTTTCACTTATGAAAGTAGGCATTTTTAATAAAGGTTGTCTCAGGGAATTGAAGATAACATTATAAATGACTTATAATTTACAGTCCTGCTTTTCAAAGCTTATCCATTTCATTAAAAGATGCCTTAAAAACTATCTTTATTTTAGAGATGATGCACAGGTAGTAAGACTATAAAGAAAAACACAGGCCAGGCGTGGTGGCTCACACCTGTAATCCCAGCACTTTGGGAGGCCAAGGCAGGTGGATCACTTGAGGTCAGGAATTCGAGACCAGCCTGGCTAACATGGTGAAACCCCATCTCTACTAAAAATACAAAAATTAGCCAGGCATGGTGGCGCATGCCTGTAATCCCAGCTACTCCAGAGGCTGAGGCAGGAGAATTGCCTGAACCTGGGAGGCAGAGGTTGCAGTGAGCCGAGATTATGCCACTGCCCTCCAGCATGGGCGACACAGCAAGACCCTGTCTCAAAAAAAAAAAAAAGAAAAAAGAAAGACACAGAAATCATTTTCACTAAAGTCCAATCTTAATTGCCACAGAGAAGAGAGAGTGCCATACTTCCAGGTGGTCATTTCTGAAATGGTAATAACACCCTGGGTAGGTGTCATGGGTTGGACTGTGCTCTCCCAAAAAAGGTATGTTGAAGTTCTAACCCCCAGTCCCTACTTAGAAATAGGGGTTTTGCAAATGCCGTTAAAAGAAGGTCATTAAGGTGGGTTCTATTCCAGTATGGCCAGTGTTCTTACACAAATGAAAAATGTGTTACAGACACACACACACAGGAAAAACACCATGTGAAGATGAAGGCAGATATTGGGATGAGGCATCAAGAAGCCAAGGAGTGCTAGAGATTGCCAGCAAACCTCCAGAAGAAGGTAAGAGGGAGGCATGGAACAGTTTCCCCCTTACAGCATTCAGAAGGGATTAATGATCCCGACACCTTGATCTCAGAATTCTAGCCTCCAGAATGAAAAGACGTAAGGCTGCACTGTTTAAGCCACCCAGTTTGCAGCACTTCATTACAACATCCCCAAGAAATGAATACAGTAGGGTAATTATTTTTAATAATTACTTTTAAACTATATTTGTGTGTTGTGTGAATTTTTCTGAATGTATTTTTTAATTAGCAATAAAAAGTAGAAGGAAAGCCACTTCTTTGAGAAAGGTAAGAGAAAACCATGGAACTGTGCAAGAATCAAAAGGGACATATTATGTTAGGTCTCTGAGTTGGAAAATTAATCAAGTTACAGAATTTGAGGGTAATGAAAGCAACTAAGGGCAGCAACAACAAAACTGTAACGACAAACATTTTGTCTTTTCTCAAAAATTGAGAATTTTCAGATATGAATTTAGTCTATCTCTAGCCTAGGAAAAAATGATAGAAAAGAATCGAAATTAAGTTCAGTTGCTTTTCCATTAATACATTTGATTCCTTTTATCCTACGTTTTGAAATTTGCTCTAGAGGTTTATAAAATCATTTTCCTTAATATCCAGATATCTCAATGTGTTTTAGAATTTTAGCCCCTACTATTGCAAATGCCCTTTAAAAAGTTTTTAGTTCCATATTCAACCTGGAAGCTAGCGAGTCTTTGCTCTTCTCATTAGCTTCATATTGTTTTCAGTAATTAGTAATGTGGTTTTCTTTTCACTTATTAAGTTAGAAAAGGCAATCCTATGTGACATTCTTTTCTGAATTATAGCAGAGTACTAAAAATTATTTTTAGTGTACCTTTTTAAAAAAGTGTTTCTGAGAAGTAAACATTTATTTGTCTACTATTCATGAACTAATTCCACGACCTATCATTTACTTTCCATTAGCAGGCCAGGATTTTTACAAAGTCTACAAGGCTGACGTTAGTCTTATTTTACAGATAAGAAAGCTGAGATTCAGAAGTGGCACAGTGGACATTCTAATCTAGTACTTCTAGTTCTTCTATCCTAAGAACTGTTTTTCAGTCTGATATACTAAATGCCATCTAAACCTACAAACTCAATCTAACAAAATCACCAATCCTATCCATGTGCAATGCAGAAAGAGGATTTGGTCCAGACCTTTTTATATAAAATGCAATATTTATGTCACAATATGGGCAGTATTTCCTCATGAAAACTTTGGCATATTATTAGTACATTTTTTCCTAATGAAATACTTCTTGTGACAATCAGTCCCTAGGACAGTTTGCAATAATCCACACCTCCTAGTACTTGGCACCCTCATGTACTCCCCACTCCCCACCCACACCGCACCAGGGTTGGTTTCTAAGTCCAACAGAATGTGGTCTGACATTTTTAAGGTTAGGTTCTAAGAGACTACAGCTTCTGGTTTGGGTTTTCTCTCTCTCACCACTGTACTCTGATGTGAGTAAACTGCCATTCTGAGGACACTCAGGCAGCCTCTGGTGTGGCCTAGGAGGTGAGGGACTGAGACTACCAGGACAGCCACAAGGAACTAAGGCCTGTCCACAACCACATGTGTTGAGCCATTTTAGAAAGCAGTGGCTTTTGTTATCCTCAGCAAACTAACGCAGGAACAAAAAAACAAACACTGCATGTTCTCACTTTTAAGTGGAAGCTGAACACTGAGAACACATGGACACATGGAGGGTACAACACACACTGAGGCCTGTCAACGAAGAGGGAGAGCATCAGGAAGAATAGCTAGTGGATGCTGGGCTTAATACCTAGGTGATGGGTTGATCTGTGCAGCAAACCACCATGGCGCACATTTACCTATGTAACAAACCTGCACACCCTGCACAGGTACCCCAGAGCTCAAAATAAGTTTAAAAAAAAAAAAAGAAAGAAAGTAGTGGCTTCCCTGGCCCCAGCGTTTGACTCCAACCTCATGACAGACTTTGAACCAGAACCACCCAGGCAAGCACTCCAAGATTCCTGCCCCTCAGAGATTGTGTTAGATAATAAATGTTGTTGCACAAGCATATTAGTTATGCAAAGTAATATGATTTAAAGTGTGGAAATGTACTATTATTAAACTTTATTACTGGATTTAGAAAACAAGTAATTCATAATTATATTCCAAGTACAAAACTGATGAATTCATTGATATAGTTAAATTTCGACATAAGACACCAACCTATATCACCTTCAGAATTTTAATACTAATAGTTCAAATCAAAACATTTTATATACATTTACATTATATGACAGGTACATTAGGAAGTTTTTTAATGTTTTATTTTTAATTGACACATAATAATAGATATTTATAAGGTATAGTGTGATTTCCAATATATACACACATTAGTTAATGATAAAGTCAGGGTAATTAGCATATCCATGACCTCAAACACTTGTTATTTCTTTGTGGTGAGAACATCCAAAATCCTCTCTTCTAGCTATTTTGAAGAACAAAATACATTATTATTGACTGTAGTCATCCTACTGTGCAACAGAACACCAGAACTTATTCCTCCTAACTCTCACTCTGCACCCCTGACCAACCTCTCCCCATCCCCTGCCCCTCTAGTCTCCCTGTCTCTGGTAACCACTATTCTACTCTCTACTTTTATGAGGTCAACTTTCTTAGATTCCACACTAGTGAGAAATGCAGTATTTGTCTCTCTGTGCTTAGCTTACTTTGCATAATATAATGTCCTTTAGGTTCATCCATGTTGTCACAAATGACACACACACACACTCTCACAATGTAATACTATTGCAATGATACACAATGATATCTCCTCAACATATTAATTTCATTTACTTTTGATATATATCCAGAACTAGAATTGTTGGATCATATGATACTACCGTTTTTTATTTTTTAGGACCCCCCCCCACATGCTGTTGTCCATAATGGCTGTACTGTTCCCACCAACAGTGTATAAGAGCTCCCCTTTCTCTACATCCTTGCCAGTATTTGTTATTTTTTGTCTTTTTGATAATAGCCATTAAAACCAGGCTAAGATGATGACTCATTATGGTTTTGATGTGCATTTCCCTGATGATTAGTGACATCGAACATTTATTCATGTACCTGTTAGCCATTTGTATGTCTTCTTTTAGGAAATAGCTATTCAGATGTCTTGCCCATTCTTTAATCAGATTTTTTTTCTATTGAGTTGAGTTCTTTATACAGTTGAACCTTGAACAATGCTGGGGTTGGGGGCACCAACCCCCGACAAAGTTGAAAATCTGTGTATAACTTCTGACTCTCCAAAGACTTAACTACTAATAGCCCAAGTTGATGAGAAGCCTTGCCAATAACATAAACAGTTGATTTCCACATACTTTGTAAATTATATGTTGCATTATATATTCTTATAATAAAGTAAGCAAGAGAAAACATTATTAAGAATATCCTAAGAACAAGAAAATATATTTACTATTCATTAAGTGGAAGTGGATCATGATAAAGGTCATTATCATCTTTTCATTGAGTAGGCTGAGGAGGAAGAGAAAGAGGAGGGGTTGGTCTTGCTGTCTCAGGGGTGGTAGTAAATCCTCATGTAAGTGGGCCTGTGCAGTTCAAATCCATGTTTTTCAAGGTTCAACTGTATCTTCTGGATATTAGCCCTTTGTCAGATGCATAGTAGTGAATATCTTCTCCCATTTTGTAGGTTGTCTCTTCACTCTGTCGATTGTTTCCTTCACTGTGCAGAAGCTTTTTAGTTTAATGTAATCCCATTTGTCTATTTTTGCTTTTGTTGCCTGTGCTTTTTGAGGTCTTATTCAAAAAAATCCTTGTTCAGGCCAATGTCATGAAGTGTTTCCCCTACGCTTTCTCATAGCAGTTTCATAATTTGGGTTCTTTTTTTTTTTTTTTTTTTTTTTGAGACGGAGTCTCGCTCTGTCGCCCAGGCCGGACTGCGGACTGCAGTGGCGCAATCTCTGCTCACTGCAAGCTCCGCTTCCCGGGTTCACGCCATTCTCCTGCCTCAGCCTCCCCAGTAGCTGGGACTACAGGCGCCCGCCACCGCGCCCGGCTAATTTTTTGTATTTTTAGTAGAGACGGGGTTTCATAATTTGGGTTCTTACGTGTAAGTCTTTAATCCATTTTGAGTTAATTTTTGTAAGTGGTGAGAGAGAACCGTCTAGTTTTATTCTTCCACATGTAGATATCCAGTTTTCCTAGTACCATTTCCTGAAGAGATTGTCCTTTTCCTAATGTGTATTCTTGACATCTTTGTCAAAAATCAGTTGGTTATAAAAGCATGGATTCATTTCTAGCTTCTCTATTCTCTTTCATTGGTCTATGTGTCTGTTTTCATGCAGTTACCACAGTGTTTGGTTACTACTCTTTTGTAGTATATTTTAAAGTTAGGTAGTATAATGCCTGCAGCTTTGTTCTTTTTTCTCAAGATTCTTTAGCTATTCAGGGACTTTATGTGGTTCCTTGCAAATTTTAGGATTGCTTTTTCTATTTCTATAAAGAATCTCATTGGTATTTCTATAGGTATTGCACTGATTCTGTAGATTGCTTTGAGTAGTATGGCCATTTTAATAATATTAATTCTTCCAATCCATTAACATGAGATATCTTTCCATTTGTTAGTGTCCTCTTCAATTTATTTCATCAATGTTTTATAGTTTTCATGGTAGAAGTCTTTCACTTCCTTAGTTATATTTATTCCTAGATTTTTTTTATCTATTGTAAACGTGATTGATTTCTTTCTTTTTCAGATAGTTTGCACTTGGTCTATAGAACCACCACTAATTTTTTGTATATTGATTTTATATCCTGCAATTTTACTAAATTTGTTTTTTAGTCCCAACAGCTATTTTTAAATGGCGTCTGTAGAGTTTTCTATATACAAGATCATGTCATCTGCAAACAAGAACAATCTGACTTCATTCTTTCCAATTTGGATGCCCTGTATTTCTTTCTCTTCTCTAATTGCTCTGGCTAGGATTTCAGTACCATGTCAAATAGAAGTGGTGAAAGTGGGCATCCTTGCCTTGTTCCAGATTTTTAGAGAGAAAGGTTTCAATTTTTCCCCATTCAGTACGATGTTAGCTGTGGGTATGTCATTTCTGGTCCTTATTGTGTTGAGATACATTCTTTTTATACCTGATTTGTTTAGGGTTTTTATAATAAAGAAACATTGAATTTTGTCAAATGATTTTTCTTCATCTATTGAGATGATCAGATGGTTTTTGGCCTTCATTCTGTTAATGTTATGTGTCAAATTTATTGAATTGTATATGTGGAACCATTCTTGCATCTCAAGGATGAATCCCACTTGATCACTACGAATGAACTTTTAGATGTGCTGTTGAATTTAGTTTGCTAGTATTTTGTTAAAAGATTTTTGCATGTATGTTAATTTGTGACACTGGCCTTTTTGCTTTTTGTTGTGTCTTTGGTTTTGGTATCAGGGTAATGTTAGCCTTTTAGAATGAATTTGGATCAACTCCCTCTACTTCAATTTTTTTGAATAGTTTGATAAGAATTGGTATTAGTTTTTCTTTAAATGTTTGGTAGAATTCAGCAGTGAATCCATCAAGTCCTGAGCTTTTCTTTGCTGGGAGACTTTTAGTACTGATTCAATCTTGTTACTTGTTATTGGTCTGCTCAGGTTTTCTATTTTTCATAGTTCAATACTTTGTTTTGCTACCATTTCTTTCTTTTTGTGTTTCAGAGACAGGGTCTTGCTCTGTCACCCAGGCCAGAGTGCAGTGGTGTGATCATAGCTCACTGCAGCCTCCAACTCCTGGGCTCAAGAGATCCTCCCACCTCAGCCTCCCTAGTTGCTTAGCACCACCACACCGAGCTAATCTTCTTCTTTTTTTTTTTTGTAGAGACAGGGGTCTTGCTATGTTGCCCAAGCTGGTCTTGAACCCAGCTTCAGGCAATCCTCCTGCCTTGGCCTCCCAAAGTGCTAGGATTACAGGCGTGAGCCACACTGCACCCGGCCTCAAACTGCCATTGTTTTAGGCTTCTCTAATTACACATTTTAAAATGTATAACCTTTCTCTGGCAGAATATATGGGCTGCCTATTTACAACAGATGTATCTATTAAATCTTCAGAATTTTTTCTACTCATATAGAATTTTAAACATCTTCATTAATATATTTCTTTCTCTATTTATATCACATTGTATGCATATATGTAACCACTGGACTTTTTTAACTTAAGTAATCAGGAGGTTGAGAGTTCCGCACAGTTTGCATAAATATGGTGTACTGGATAGGAATGTGGGATCTGGAATTCAGGAGACATAGACTGCAATCCTGGCTATCAAATTTGCTAGTTATATGACCTTGGTAATTTACTTAACCTCTCTGTTCCTCACATCCTCATTTATAAAGTGGCTATAACACCTACCCCATAGAGTTGAATAAGAAATGAAGAATACAAAAAACACTCTTAGCACAGAGTATAGCATGCATATAGCAAATACTAAATTAATTAATGTTCTCTTTTTTTTTTTTTTTTTTTTTTTTTAGTGCAGCAAAATGTAGAACAAAAGCGCTGAAGAAACTTTCCCAGTTGGGGATAATATTGTTTTGGATATTATCGGTCATTTTGTCTATATTCTGATCAGCATTTTTTGTAAATGTGATCACTTTGGATTTTGCATTTTAGTAAGGGCAAAATACTTATTCTTTGAATATGATTTTAAGGTATACCAAGGAAGGATAGCGAAAAACTGAATCTTCCATTAATTAATGGTGTCTCAGACCTCCCAAATCATGGCTTCTCAGTGTATTTTTCTTTATCCTGTAACAATAATAAAAGTCCTAATACTGAGGATCAGGATCATTCATGCCATGCAATTATCATATTACTTGCTACTTACAGAGAACTTTAGAATCTATAAAGCATTTTCCAATGCATTACCTAATTGAATCATCTACTAAGTTCTAGTTGAATACTAAAAATTAATTTTAAATGTAAAATTAATTTAAACATTAAAATGGGGAGTCCAATTCTGTCTAACTTCAAAGTCGATCATGGCACTAATGACTGCCTCTGTCTCTTGGATTATTTGTCCAGGGGAAGAAGGGGACAAACTGGGTGGAAGCTGTGGACCACCACGTCAGTAAGTACGTGCAGGGATTGCGATCTACCCTCCTCGGCATCAATTATACAGGGAATACCCACTCCATTCCCTCCCCTCACAGCCAGCACTTTGCTGAGGTAAAAGGATAACCTGTCTGAAAAAGCTGGAGAACCCAGTTTCAAAGTTTTTCCCTTCTTTTTTCCCCCATGATTTGCTTTGGAACAGCCTGATCCATTATCTTTTTTAGCAGCTCATTATTTCAATTTAATGTCCTTATCTGCTGTTTCTTTCCACTTGGCAAAGCTCCTCTTATCAAATGTTACTCTGTATTTAAAATCTGAAAGATAGCTAATATGGGGCCTATTACAGCAAACACAGAAAAAAACCTTATTTTGCCATTATTTATTTGCATTCAGAACTGCCTTCCTTTTTGGAGCAAGTTATTTAGCCTCAGAAGATATAGTTTTTATCGTTAAATTATTTTACACTTTCTTCAGAATCGTCAGCAATCACCACTATGAGAAAAGCCACTGGATAGCAGCCATTTAAATGATAGATGACTTTCCAAAAGAAAGGAGATGAAGGGATCTTGAATTAGAAGGAAATGTGCACTTTAAAATTGTGGTTAGGCAGCTGAGGCAAAAGGATCACTTGAACCCAGGAGACCAAGGCCAGCATGGGCAATATAGTGAGACCCCACCTCTTTAAAAAAAAAAAAAAAGAAAGAAAAACTACCCCTGGCCAGGTGTGGTAGCTCACACCTGTAATCTCAGCACTTTGGGAGGCCAAGGCGAGCAGATCACTTGAGGTCAGGAGTTCAAGAACAGCCTGACCAACATGGTGAAACCCCGTCTCTACTAAAAATACAAAAATTAGCCAGGCATGATGGTGCATGCCTGTAATCCCAGCTACTCAGGAGGCTAAGGCAGGAAAATTGCTTGAACCCGGGAGGTGGTGAGCCAAGATCGCACCACTGCACTCCAGCCTGGGTGACAGAGCGAGACCCAGTCTCAAAAAAAAAAAAAAAAAAAAGAAAAGAAAAAAGAAAGAAAGAAAGAAAAGCTACCCCCCAAAGATTTGTGGTATAAACTCTGAAATTTTAGCATTTTCTTAGATTTCACAGTTGTTAGTAATCTATCTGTTAATACTTGCATTTAATACGCTACCATTTATAAACACAGTATCTTCTTATTAAGACATTTTAATCATTTATTAATGGCTTATTAAGTGGTTTGTCTTGTTCCAGCTTTATGCCAATGTTATTACTTGCAGTTTGAAATAAATCAGTAGTGGTTAATAGTTTCAAAATTCGTTTTAATAACAAAAAATCTAGTCTTACGTTTTTCAATTTAAACCAATATTAATAAACCAACTCACTTTTTGGCATCCTCCTCTACAGGCAGAAATTCTTCAAAATATCACCCACATGTCCTCTCCTTCCCTTTATTACAGAAAGACCCTAAATCCACATAGAAACAGTTTCTTACTAACATCAAAAAGCAACACAACATTGTACCAAAATATTTGTTAATTCAGGTTCCTTTTTTTTCTTATCACCTGTTTTGACCCCAAAGCTGCAAATGAACATTATTTGAGGAGTTTTATATTTGTGTTTAATTATTTACTTAGAGTAAATAACTAACTTGTGTTAATTTGTATTACACTTAGGCAACAGAATATCAATATTCTATTCTGTATTTGAACTTCCAAGCCACTGTATTCACTCTTTTATGTTTTATTTACCACTAAAATTTAGCTTCCTAAAAAGAATCTAAATGAGATGGTGACTGAGTAGCAAAGTTCATAGCTTCTAAAAGACTTAGTTCCTCATCTATAAAATGGGGATATATCTTCCTCAGAGGGTTATTGGGGGAATTAAATGAGATAATGTATGTAAAGCTCTCAGCATGGTGACTGAGACAAAGTTCAAGAAATGTTGCATTCATGGTGACAAGGATGATGAGAATGAGGATGATGACAATGATCATGATGATGATGGAAGGTGTGTCCCTGTAGGATATCACATGATATGCACACTATTGATGATGAAGAGGCATCCTCAATTGGAGATATGGAGCAATTTATCACAACACGTTACTGAGATTCAGTGTGAAAACAGCAGGACCAATATAAGGTGGCAGTACTACAATCCGATATGAATTCAATTTTTTTTTTCTTTTTTTTTTTTTTTTGAGATGAAGTCTTGCTCTGTCACCAGGCTGGAGTGCTGTGGTGCAATCTCAGCTCACTGCAACCTCCACCTCCCTGGTTCAAGCAATTCCCTGCCTCAGCCTTTCGAACAGCTGGGACTACAGGCACGCGCCACCACACCCGGCTAATTTTTTGTATTTTAGTGGAGACAAGGTTTCACCATGTTGGCCAGGATGGTCTCGACCTCCTGACCTCGTGATCCGCCCACCTCGGCCTCCCAAAGTGCTGGGATTACAGGCGTGAGCCACCACACCCAGCCGAATTCACATTTTTTTTCAGAGAATTGTAATTAGGTTTCAAATTACTGGTCAAATATCACTTTGAGTTTTAAACATTTGTTTCTGTAATAGAAATAGTCACAAAATATTTTCAAAAACAAAAATGTTTATTTCAAGAGCTGCCATGAAATTATCACTTACATGGAGAATTAAGCTGCACAAACATTTCTCTAAATACTTCCAGAGGTTAGTGAACATGTTTAAACACATGTGCTGAGGAAAACAAAACTAACCCAAACACAAAACGCTGCTGTCAGGGTTCTTATGAATGAATAAAGCTGTCTTATTGCAGGTTTTCATCTGCTACTATTTCTTAAATGATCACTGCTAGGTTTTATGTAAGTTCTTTCCTTTTTTCTAATTCCACATCAAGCACATAAGTATATATGCACTATGAATAAAATTCATGGCCATGAAATGATTTCATTCTATAGTAAGAAATCCAAATAATGTTTTAAAAAACAAATAAATGGACGACTGCATTTGACTAATTGGTAGAGTAATGAAGAAAATCCATTTTTATTACTTCTGAATTAATGAAAGCTGTAATAGTGCATGAAATAGCTGCTCACCCTTCCCTTTAAAAAATGGTCTACAATTTGACATTCCACTGTGGTGTTCTTGGTAATTTGTCAGAGACGCTCTCTCAGCCAACCACCATTAAGCGCTGGAAGAGGTATGTCTTTTTAGCTTCCATTTGTATTCAAAAATGACTCTTTTTATATTAAAATCTGATTTTATTTTTACTTTTCTCCTGCTGTTCCAAGAAATGTTCAAGGATACAAACATAAGACATGGCTTCTCCATGGCTACTCTAATAAATATTATTTTTCCTGCTTCTCTCCAGAACTCATTACATAACTTTGGTAATCAGTGTAAGGAATATGTAAAGAATATTTAAGTCAATGGAAAAAAAAACTACATAAATACAAAGAAAACATAAAAGTAAGTAAACCCTCTCGGGTGATCTCTCTTTTAAAGTTGTTCCACATGTTTTATTACTATCATATAACCAATATATTACACTTCTCTTCCAAAGTTCCCTAATACATACTGGGAAGGACAGGAAGAACTACAGATCTGCCTAATTCAACAATTAAGTACTCATTACTCACCAAAAAAAAAAAAAAAAAAAATTGAAACTCACATAAAACATCATTAGATATCACGTGTCTCTTACGTAGCATTCATAGAATGTTTATGCCAGTTGACATAAGCTACCTGACTTCAGTCAGCATATCCCCTCTTTGTGGGTATAGGTGGGCATAGAAAGAACATAGATACCATCACTACATGAATGCTTGCTACTTGATAAATTCAGCAAATAGAGTTTTCCTCTCAATAAACCCAAAAATACTCGGGAATCTCGACACAAAGTAGTGATGCTGTTACTGAGGAAATGAAGTATGCCCGACGCTTCTAAAACCAGCACTATGTGTATATTCATGCAGCTACGTGAAAGTGCTCACTCCTTTACATCATAGTCGTAATTAAGTCTCTGTCTATGAGAAACTGGAACACAATTCATGCAGGCTGCAGAAGGTTTCATGAAAGAAAAGAAGTTTTAAACTGGCAAAAATAAAATAAAATCAAAGTATATGAAATATTTACTCACGTAAATGTAAACATAGTTTTC
The DNA here is from genome assembly GCF_000001405.40 of Homo sapiens. NCBI lineage: Eukaryota > Metazoa > Chordata > Mammalia > Primates > Hominidae > Homo > Homo sapiens. The sequence continues at coordinate 32,959,476 of NC_000014.9, read as the reverse complement.
TGAAGGCTTAGCTTATTTCAATTTTATAACTTTAATAACATTAGACTCAAGGTCATTACTTAGGTTTGGAATCTTTACTTGAACTACAGTTGAAGTGTGAACACACAGATGCATACATGTGCACACACACACCCTCACAACTGTATTAAATACCAGGCAGCCCCTAGTAACAACCAGGCCAAGTGTGGCATTAAAGGTTTTGTGGTTTCTGGGGCAAAAGAAGCAAAGCAAAGGTTTCAGAGCAAGAACACCGAGGCAGAAATAAAGAAGTTCAAAAATCAGTCAAAATAAGCAAATAGTGTGTCTAAAAACCAGGAGGTCAAAGAGAGATTAAAAAGGACAAATTTCACTGGTCAAAGCAAACAAGACTTACATCAAGCTTGTCCAACCCAGGGCCCAACACAAATTCTTAAACTTTCTTAAAGCTTTATGAGATTTTTTTTGCCATGTTTATTAGCTCATCAGCTATCGTTATTATTAGTGTATTTTATGTGTGGCCCAAGACAATTCTTCTTTCAATGTGGCCCAGGGAAGCCAAAAGATTGGACACTCCTGACTTACATGTTATAGTTTGGCAGAGCAAAATAATACTACCACCATCACCATTTTGTTATGAGCCTGTTCTGGGGCTACTTCATTTTCTAAAGTTTAGTGTGTTTCCTGCCCATGTATTTATTTACCCACTCACTCATTTCATGTATAATATACTGAGCATGTACTATGTGCTAAATATTGTATAATTCAGTTTTGGGTTCCATTGAGTTTGAGGTATCCATGGGAAGTATGAATGGCCATGGACAATACACAGCTGTATATACGGGTTTAGAGACAAGGAGAGAGATCTTGATGGCAAATGAGAAACTGGTGTTGTCAGCATCTTCAGTCTTTTTTATGAAGCCATGAGAATGAATGCCAGGGTCCTGGAGGGAGTGCAGAATGAGACGAGTAGAAAACCCAGACAGAACTCTGGAAACCAAACTGATAACTGGGAGGAATACCAGAAAAGCATGGCATCATGGAAGTCCAGGGATCAGAGTATCTCAAAAAGAAAGGAGTGATCAGCAGCGTCAAATGCTGCCAAGAGATTATGGAAGATAACAACTCAAAGTGTCTATTGGCAGCAGATGACCTCAGGTTTGGAGGTATACAAGGAAGCTGAATGTAGTTGGTTAAGGAAAGACTGAAGATAATGGTAGGTTCATGGGGTTGGTGGGTGGGGGTTATTAACCCTTCTGGAAGCATTCAGTTATTTGGGGGAAGAGAACTTTCATTTTAAATAATATATAAGATGAAAAAAACCAAGGTGGACCATAGGGGTCACAGGCTTTTATAAAAAGAGAAATAAATCTTTAGGTGGCAATTAAAAATGGAAAGGCCCAACTTTGAGGGGAACTGATGAAGTATATTTAAGGAAATGCTGGGTGAGTCTGAGTTAAAGGAGTACAGCAAAGAGTGGTTATAATGTAAAAGCTAAACTGGAGCTTTTCTGTACTGAGTTGGAGCGGTGGACAGTGAATGTAACTGCAATAATTCCAAAGCTAGTTTTTCTACACTTATGCTACAAAATGTCCCATCCTAAAAATCTCAGAGATAATGAGAACTTCTGTAAGCCCATAATGCTTACTGTGATTTTACCACCAAATTCAGGATTAAGAAGTGCACAGTCCCCACACTAAGAGACAGAAGTCAGTCCAAAGGATAAGGGAGTAACTCTGTTAAACAAAACTGAAAATTTTTAGCTTTCTAAATTGTTAAGAGAATAGGCAAATGCAAAATAGAATGCTGGAATAGAAAATGAATACTTAGGCCGGGTGCGGTGGCTCAAGCCTGTAATCCCAGCACTTTGGGAGGCCGAGGCAGGCGGATCACCAGGTCAGGAGATCAAGACCATCCTGGCTAACACAGTGAAACCCCGTCTATACTAAAAATACAAAAAAATTAGCCGGGCGTGGTGGTGGGCACCTGTAGACCCAGCTACTCGGGAGGCTGAGGCAGGAGAATGGCGTGAACCCAGGAGGCGGAGCTTGCAGTGAGCCGAGATCGCACCACTGCACTCCAGCCTGCGCCACAGAGCGAGACTCCATTTCCAAAAAAAAAAAAAAAATGAAAATGAATACTTATAATAACCCACACTTAAAAGATATCAAAGATAAGTTACAAATTAACAAATTCAAATGTTTAAAAAGTTAATAAAGAGCTTATCACTATGTTTAATATATAATAACAGTGAAATAACCAGTAATTATTAAAATCTTATTTTTAAAACTGTAAAACATATATATTTACATAGCTTTTTCTGGGAAGAAGAGCATAGTATAGAGATGGCATATGTTTTTCAGAAAAAAGATCAATCTTCCCACGCAGACACTGAACATAGAAGACCAGTTTCATCTGGACCTGGGAAGCCAGAATTAATTTGGACAAATTAACTAAAATCATCATCATGCTAAGGCGCCACACCAAATAGCCATTCATGGTTATATTGGTTTGTGGAACTCAGTGCTCTCACTGGAAAAATAGAAAGGTTTTGGCCAATAGATTGAGTTTTCAATATTAACACTGAATAGAATTTCTAACTGTGTTATAGAGCAGATCTCTGTCCAAAGTTTCACAGTGTGTAGAGGGGGCATATTTTAGATGTGTTTTCAGACATACTTAGGTATATACATAAACATATCAAAAGTGATTTGGGTTTTGGAAAAGTGGATGTGTTTCCTTACCTGTGCATTAATAAACTGGTATTTAAATTTTATTCCAACATGTATTCAAGACATATGTCAATATGTCTGAATAAGGCTAATATGCATTAAAGACAAAATTCAGTGTCAACAGATTATAAACTTTGGAGAAAGTAAGCTATGTCCAGAGTAAAGACAGAAAGGAATAAGTATATTTGAACTACTGATCCACTCTTTCCCTGGAGCTGTTAATGATTTCATTTCTTTTAATGTGTTAAGTTCAAGCAAGTTTATCAAGGTTTAGCTCACTACTGGTTTGTATGAAATAACAATGTTCACCACTATCAATCAATCATGGTGAGGAGCTAAATTAATTGTGGTTATTTCATGTAACCTTGCATGATATTTTCAGTGCAAAGATTTGTGTTATAGGTACTATATACACAAGGCCATGTGATAACTGAATTGTGCCAACAGAGGAGAAATCCCTAGAAAAACTGTCAGCCCTCTTTGTAACCTGTTCTATTTTACATGATCGAATTTTTCAATTTTGGCCTAATCAACTTAAATTATTATTGGTACAATTTTGTGAAATACAGAATTAATGCAATTCAAATTTTATGGAATTATAATTGACTATAAAATGGTTTTAATATGATTCTAATTTGAAATCATTCATTGTTCCAGAATTCATCTATTTGGTGGTATCATTTGAAAGTTAAAAAAAAACCATCAATGGTATATTTGGTTGTAACTGATTTTCTTTACTCCTTGCTTAATAGAGAGCTGTGACACATCTTGAATCTAAAACTATTATCTGTAGAGTTACAGGGGTATAATCTTCAGGGACCCCACAACATAGGATATAAACAATTCAATTTTGAAACCCAAAATACACTAGGAATTACTAAGCATTAGTTAAAAATACATATTGAAAAATGCTTATATTTCTCTATTAATTTCTTTTTTACATCTGAGATCATGGGGTATGTTATGCGTGCTTGTAGATTTTTGACAGAAATGGGAAATTCCTGGGATGAAATGTAAATATCAATAGGCAGAATTAGAACTGGAATTCATTTATTCCTTCATTTTCTAACTCTGTTCCAAGAAGGTGTTTCAGCACTGGGGGTGCAAAATGGAGACCAATTTGTTCCCTTCTAGAAAGGTCACAATTTATGTAAAAAGACAGGTACAGAAGAAGACTATATTTTATTTCTTCATCATCCATCATTTTGGTTAATGGTCCTCAATATTGGTTATGGATATCTTGAGTTTTCGCAATAGATTCTGATAGTGAACTATGATCAGCTTCTCAAAAGACAGATAATTTCCATGTTATCTTGTCTCCTCTTCATGAGCATCTTAGAGCTTGATGTCTTAGCATGATCTCCAAACATATTGGACTGACGTTTATGTAAGTTACATAAGTAGTCCCATTGCAGAGAAAGACTGCAATGTATCCAACAAAGTATATTTTGGTCTGTGTGATCTCACTACTTACTAGAGTACACTTCGATAATTAATTTGCATTAAATTATATATATTGTTATATCCTATTGAGATAGACCTTGAGCTAGAAGACTAGAAAGGGAAAAAGCAAAATGCCAAATCATTGGACATTGATTGCAGGTGAATGCTTAATTTTAAAATTGAATCTGAGTTGACCAGAAGCCACAGGTTCTTTTGACCAAGCCTTTTAAGTGAGCTACAATAACAACTTATGGTACATACAAAAGTGTGACTCCATGCAAAAGGTAGGAATATATTATGACCATAAGAATGCCCATGCCACCATAATTTACAAAATGCATGTCTATTCACAATCGAAAAGATGGTATAAATTATGCAGGAAATAGAACTACAGTTTACAACTTGCTAAGCAAGATTGTAATCTCCTCATAACCATCTTTTAATGTAACACCTCACCATTATGCTAGGCATGATCAAACTTTTGGTCAACCTATTTATGTTATAATTGCAATCATTAGCTTTACAGGACAGTTACTATGGAATCAGAAGATAAGTAAGGTGATGATTTAGTACAATTTGAGAGTGCAAAAATGCTTAATACCGACAATGTCTATGGGAGGTATTAAAAGGCAAGATAGAAGAGGAGAGCTATAGGGTCAGCTAGACTCATACTGGGATTAGGAGAAGGGTATAGGGAAGAGAAAAACAGTATGATGCAGAATAGTTATGTGGGGAAATGGAGGGGCCCCAGAAGAAAGAATGAACTAGAAAACAACTTTACAAGAGTCAGAAGGTAGCTAACATGGTAAAAGAATGTCATCCCATCAGTCCAGACTGAGGCTTAAATCCAATTTCAAAACTTTACTAGCTATGACCTCATCTATAAAAGAGAAATATTACAGAACCTATCTTATTGGGTTATGGAGAAATTTAAGCGATCTAATGTAAAGATGAAAAAGTGAACTTTAAACAAGTTAAAGTTTATGGGTAAATAGAACAAACCAGGAAGCGAGCATGCTTACAAAAGAGGACAAACACCAACAGTGATAAATAGAAGACATGAGAACAGGAATACATTAACATCATTAGGACCCATCCACTACTGAATCAGCTAAACCGAAACAAACCTGGTGTACTCCATCACATGATTAATGCTTAAGAAATTTGGGGAAGATTACATATTTGGAACCTTCATCATTTTCTCTCCAAATTGTTGACTTTGTGTTGCATTAAGCTCAAGGCAGCTCTCAACTACAGGACTATGCCACCACTAGGTCCTCTCATCCTTCTATAATAATCCCCATTTTAGTGCTTCAGATTGTTGAGAGACAAGTCTCTATGTCTCTCACATTTCTGCACATCTTGCAGACAAAGTACTATTAACTGTCCTTTGTTAAGGCCTAATTAAGGCTGTACAGAGAACAGTCTTGGAAGACACAGTGTCTTCCTCCAGAGTAAAAGGAAGACATGTTTACTGCCTGTTTTAAAAGATTCAAGTTCCCTAAACTCAAGGGTCCTCTTGTAACACAACCTACTGCACTACTGTGTGTGCAGGTATCATTTGACCCTCTTTTTATCACCCTGTGGGAACTGGGGCTCAGATAATTACCTTACACACTAATATTCTGACTACTGTTAATGCTGTGAGTAATAAACTGTCCTTCATCTCCGACCCGGCATTCATTAAAGTGTGGCAGGCCATGGCTTGCAAGCAGAGTAAAATCTAAGATCCTTCACAATTCTTGACATAGATCTTTAGGGAAAACAGACCCCCTCGAATAACTGATAAAATGGTATGAAGATGCTGTTTCAGTAGATTATTGGATTTCCTGAAGCCCATTCACTGACTGCTACAACACTGATGGACCACAGGACAGAAGACGCCTCACTCAGTCAGGGCCTACTGAAAGTCTTTGTGACCTCGTATGAAATAGATGCTGCTTACAAGTGAATAGCAGCAGGATACAGCTTGGTGTTTATCCTTGAAACAACACTTAGTAAATGAAAACAGTTGCAGGAGGGGGAAAGGGTCCAGATCTTGTGAAGTCTAACGTGGTTTGGTTCAACCCAAGTCTAAATACTTGCTGTGGAGGCCTTTCTACAAAAAAATACTATAGCCATCTATAAATCCCAAATTTAAATTCTATTTCAACACTGAGTAGATATTTCCAACTCTGTTTTTTTTTTTTTCTTTTTTTTTGGTTGTTGTTTGGGGTTTTTTGTTGTTGTTTGCTTTTTGTTTGATGATTTGTTTTGAGACAGGGTCTCACTCTGTTGCCCAGGCTGGAGTGCAATGGTATGAACATAACTCACTTCAGCCTCAAACTCCTGGGCTCAAGCAATCCTCCTCCCTCAGCCTCCCAAGTAGCTGGGATTACAGGTGTGCACCATTAAGCCTGGCTAATGTTATTTTTTTGTAGAAACATGGTCTCACCATGTTGCCCAGGCTGGTCTCAAAATCCTGGGCTCAAGTCATTCTCCTGCCTAGGCTGTGATTACAGTGCTGGGATTACAAGCATGAGCCACAGGTATTTCCAATTTTGGTTGACACTACGTATCACTCAATTCTAAATTTCTTCATTGGTGGTAGATTTTTACCACAGTTAGTGACTTTTAACTAGACAGAAAAATATGGTTAGCAATGAAAATATGTACAACACAGGTATTTAACCCAATTCATGACATTTACCCATTTTTATACTCAATGTTGTGATAAAATTAAATTTTTTTTTTCTAAAACAATGTCACTATGAGACATTGTTTCCAGGGGAGGTACTTCAAAGTGTTGACTAATGTATCTATATGCGTGGTATGGGAGACAAGCAAGGGCACACTAAAGGTTTTTCATGTTCTATTAATTGAAAACATGTTTGTTTTGATAGGCTCATTTTAAAAATTCAAATAAAGTTCACCCCTAACTCTGAATTATTCTAATCAGATCATCTTCTAGTACCTAGCCAAAATTAGCTTCAGGAAAACAGAGTTTTGATGAGTGATGAGGGGGAAAAAGGAGTTACGGAAGTCTAGTACACATTATAACATTTTAAAACATTTTCCTAAGTGTCTTCATAATGGAAAAATAGAAAATTACCTTTTGTAGAACTGAGTATTTCTTTGGGGAACAATATTTTATCAGCGGTATATTCAATTATTACTGACAAGAGCTATAACTACATAGTTATAGGGATGAAATACTCTTAATCTACATATGATACATAGAATATATGTATAATCTACACACACATATAGAAATTAAGCAAAAAAGTTAATCATCTTACAAAAATATACATGCAATACCTATTAAGTATCATTAATTGGGAATTTTCCAGAAACCATAAATAAGTGATACCTCTATTTTAAAAGTCATTAATTTACTAGATGTAAGAAATCTTATCCACTCGTAAATCTTCAAATCTGTCTGCACTACAAACCCCAAATCAGTTCACCTTTACAAGTAAAGGAGAAGAATTAGGAGAAAGTGCTTTTTAAAAACAAGGTTAAAAAGAAATAAATAACTGTTGTAGTTTGGGTAACTATCTCACTACAGAAATTTATTCCTCTATAAATGTTTTAGGAACACACAAAATCTTCAGAGATTAGTTATTCCCTTAAGCAGTTGCCTATCCATCAAATATTACATTGTTAACTTCCTTCTTCATTGTATATCATCTAGTTTTCCAATATTTCCAGAGTTCTTCTACTGTCTCAATTGAATTTAAGAAACAAATGTACTTATCTCCAAACATTTTAGTATTTTTCTTTAGTGTTACATTGAGTCTTAGCATCATATGTCACTTTAAAATTTAACTTAAGGCATCCTATTGCTTCCATTGCAAAGTCCTCTGGACACTCTTGAAATAAGATGTTTCCTTTCAAAGATGTTTTCATGAAGAAAAATATTTAACATCCTATATTTTATGGACTGAAATCTATATAACAAGCACCATATTTGACATAAAAAATTTATTTAATCATTTTATAAATATGGAATATTTGTAAATGTTAATGCCATTGGAAAAACAATCTGCCATTTATAATACCTCATCTCATTATTTTATATTATATATCCACATAATTCAAATCACATAATCATAGATTTTTGCAGCTGGAAGTAGGTATTAGCAACTCAGTATGAAAATAAAGAAACTGAGGCTCTGAAAGGTTAAAGAACCTAGGTAGAATACAACTTCCTACAAAGATAATGGAAGACTGACACTGGTGACCAGGATTTATGCCATTCCATGCTGCTGCACTAGTTCCCAAGCAGCAAGTAACCAGTGGTAATTCATAATGTATTGCCCTGACAATCTCGATATCCACGGGCTTCTGTCTTAAGTACACATTTATTACTGAGTAATGGAACTCTTGCTTTTTGCCTGCCCATTGTTGTACACAAAGATTGACACCTTTTGGTGCATCTTGACTTTGAGAGCTCTCTACTAACTTCTGTCCTAGTGTATTTCACTGGCAGTTTAAAAATCCTGATTCAGCAATGTTATGGCAATACTATTACAGCTATCTTTTAAAATACACAAAACCACATTAGCTAGAGGATGGTGTCACTATCGTAAAAAGGGCTATGTCTCAATCATTTGTTTCAGTTGCTATGCAGCCACATCAATACGGCACAGATTAAGGCCTCAGGAAATTCTTAACATTCTGAGGTAAATACAAAGATGTGGGAAGATTATTTCTTTTTGTTAAGATTGTTGTACCTTGCTAGTAGTTGTATCACATCTGAAATGGATGCTGAAATGTAGATATACCTAACTTTTTATAGTTATAAGCTTCCCTATGTTTTATTTTTTAAATGATCCTGATCTTTCTCATCCTAACAGCAATAATATATGCATGTATGAAATTAAACCCTATGGATGAAACCACATGCAAGAGCAGTATAGGTTATGGAAAAATATGCCTTTATAATGCTTCTGTTATCTGTGCTGCTAACTATAACTCTTGCATATATAATTCCATTATACTTTTGTAATTCAGGGCTTTGAAAATGCTTTTGAACCATTAATATATTTTCCTGGTTAAAATTCTTTGAGATGTTCTTAACAAGAGTCTTAGATAATGAATTTGGGCAAACTCTGGAACAGTCTTTACAGTATTATCATTCTCATTAATTTTCAGAACTACCCACTGTGTTGAGATGATTGTCATGGACCTAAGACTTCAATTTGGCTAAATATTTTTGCATATATTTCAACATATAAGTAACTAACGGATGTTTAAATGTTAAGTTCATATGGAAGAAATAGTTAAATGTATTTAATCTCATGATTTCTTTGCCACACTAATTCTTATTTTACTATTTCTTTATGTATTACACTATTTCCTCTATACTTTGGTGTATAATAAACCAAAAATTCCAAAATCTCTTCAAAGAAAACAATCCTTTAAAACATTCTAGAATGTAAGACATCTATGCATATAAAAATTTAATACATGTAGCATAACTAATTTTTTTAAAAAGAATACCTTAAACAGTGATATAATTAGTAATATGAAATAATTATTTTTATAAAATATACAGAGTTCATATAAAGCATAGGGCTGGACTTTTTCCTTTTTTCTTTTTTCTTTTTAACAGAAAAAAATGGTTTCCATTTATATTCTTATTTGGCTTTATCAACCTGATATATGATACTGCCCTAACCTGCCAGTAAAAGATGGGTAGGAGACTAAAAATAATATTACTTTAAGAGAGTTAATGCAGTACACAGTTCCATACTTTCATCTAGTTCATTCTTTTCTCTTTGCTTATTTGGTTATCTCTGAAGACGGCTTCTGTTTCCATTGTTTCATCCTTTAGCATTCACATATCAGAGCAATAAGTATTTCATTACTGGTTTATCTGTCCAGAGGCTTGAGAAGCGGTAACAATTAACCCTCCCTTCACAGTGATTGATACAGGCTTTGCTTTCAATTTGTTCCACTACACAGATCATGAAATTCTGAATGCAATCATCCTCATTGACCTACACTTTCAAACACACAGCTACAATGAGACTAAAGTAATTATTAAAAGGAACACAGGACTACCGAGATCTGAAACAAAGTCTTTTAAAAATCTGTTAGATGACCTTCTGGTAAAAGTGGCAAATTTTGATGCTAAGGAAAATGATAGCTTAGTGTCCCTGTCTGGAAATATTCAATGCAAGCTGATCAATGTATATTATGGTGATTGCATTGGCTGTAGCATGTACTTAGAAAATACAGAAAGCCATTCTAGAACTGTTACAAACACACAGAGTTAAACTGTTAACATTGTGCCTTACCCTGTATAAAATTTTTTCAAAGAAACTAAAGTTCCTGATTTCTGTAAAAAGTAAAATACGCTGACCATAGCGAAGAATTAAAACGGGAAACACAATAATTTTATTGTCTAAGAGTTGCATACCTGAGCCCTACATTTTCCCTCTCCCCGCTCCCTTTAGATGAAGGGTCACAGTAAGAAATGAATACATTTTTCTCAAAGTCTGGAAAAATGGCTTCAAATAAATATTAATCTACCGCAATCGATATATATGAGGAATGGAGAGGGGCTGGTAGGAGAGTGGTGACTACAGAACTATATTAAAACAAAGGTTGCAGTTAAAGAAAATCAGGGCAGAAAGCAAGGCAGCAGGCCTGAGGCTCTAATCACAGAACAGAGTGATGGAGATGAACCAATACTGCATGGATTAGCGATGAATTATTTTGAACCATAATCATATGCCTGCACAGGAGAGAGGCAAAAACTAACCATTGCTCGTAAACTGATGGCTGCTGATTTCCAGAGACAGAAAGAGAGAAGCAAAGAGAGAGAAAAGAATAAATTCATATGCTAAACTAATTCAGAATAATGAAAACCTAAAGATGGGGTTATACTTCAAGTAACATTTTATTTTTAATGTCTGCTACATACTACATAATATGGAGTGTTTTGAATATAAACTGTAAAGTTCTTAGATTCAAACAGGATTAAACCAACCATTTCTTCTAAGATTAGGATGCAATATATCTACTCTACATTCTTCACTGCCCAATAAAACCATTTTTGGACAACTTTGACATCCCCAAAATATAAATTTTTTAAGTATTTATGTATAAAGAAGAAACAGCATTCAAGAAATTAACTTCCTTTGGATAATCTGAAAAATTCATAGCAAATGAAGATTCAATTGTTAAAACTAATTTTGTTAGGAAGAAAAAACTAAAAACTGCTGGTAGCAAGAGATTCCTGAGATTCTTATGAACAGACTGTTTAAATGAAGAGCACTTTAATCAGTAGAGGAATCCTCACGTTTCTAATGTCTTGCTGTGCATTCTGCAGGTTATAGTAGCAGCTGGAAGAGGTCATATATCTCTTGTGAGCATCCCAAAAAGGCTCACTGCCAGACTGTTAAATTATGAATAAGCAATGAACAAAAGAATGCAGATACGGTGGTGACAAGATAATCCAAGCAAATTTATCTATGACAAATTTCACAGGATTAACAAATTACATTTACACAGAACAATAAAAATGTGCAAAAAAAAATGATGAGCCTACTTTGCCTTACAGCATTAGGAAAACAAAAAGTCACCAATCCACTGCATACATTTAAATTTAACTCAATCTAAAGTAAGACATTTATAATGTTCAAGATATCTTTGTAACTTTTTTCCATTTTAGATAGACATACACAAACATGGTATATCTCATACATATTTTATATATAATTTATGTTGTAAACAGTGTATATATATGTGTGTATCATGTGACATATATATGCTGTGTACACTATATACAAAAATCTTGTATAATTAAAAAAATTCATATACCTGAATAGAATATATATGTTTTTAGAAGTGGATTCTGATGAATAAATTATATTTGTAAAGGGAAAATGCCCCTTCCATCAGCACAATACATACTAGTTAATAAAATATCCATATTCATTCATGTCTCCATTTTCTAGGACCAGAGAGAGAAGTTCTGCAAACAATTTCAATCATTCCACTTGCCACCATTGAAATACTGCCATCTTTCTGAGCTAAAGTGCTTCTGAATGAAGTTTAGAGCTAGCATCCTTTTCCGCAGTGTTACTGTAGCAGAAAGGAAAAATCAGAGATTTGGGGAAGAGAGTGTTAATTATAGCTATATTCACACTTATATTGACCCTTAATCCAATATTAATTTTTCTTTATAAGAAAATTATTTTTATAAATCTTACAAATGAAAATGCCCTAGTTCATCAGATATAATGAAATATTATTGAAATGACCTATAAGTTTATAAAGTGGTCTTAAAATGCTGTGGGACACTACTTTCCAAAATATGCAATTAAGATTTGTAAGTTTAATGTTTTACACTAGGTACCCAACTCACAGCCCTTTAATTCTGCATTAGCATACTGATGATAATATAATAATGTAATCAGATGTAATCTCTTTTAAGATGATCTGATGGTGGTTAAAAATTTTGTAGTCTATTTTTCACTTATACTTCCTATTGACTTTTGTTTTTTATCTTCAATATTTCAGTAAAATATCCCTTTAAATTTTAAGTCCTTTGCAACTTAAAAGGCAACTTATCCTTTCATAAACAAGATATTTGCTGAATGTAAAAAATGAATCCAATACACAAGCGAATTATCTTGCAATCACAAATACTCAAGCACTTCTTATCTAGTCCTTTTAAGCCCGAAATTTCTATTATACCTATTATTTTTAAAGAAGCTATTTAGTTGACAATATTACATCCAAAAACGTAAAGATAAATGTGGCATGTTTGTCTGCTACTGAGATCTTGCATATATTCTGCAATGAACACCCACATCACACGCTACAAAGTTTCCTAAAGTACAGCTTTTGTTAAAGAACTGTTATGTATCAGACCAACCCTAGGGTTCCTGGCATAGAGGAAAAAAAGTTACCAAAGGCTAACTTTCCCTTCTTGAAGATGACTCTGTGTGTGTGTGTGTGTGTGTGTGTGTGTGTGTGTGTGCGCGTGTGTGTGTGTTGGGGGGATGGGGGAGTAAATAACTTACCATTTATGTATTTATTGTGGCCCATTTTAACATGTCATGTTTTTAATTAAATGAGTGAATGCATGTAAAGCTCTCAGAAGAGTACCTGTTTATTAGCACACGATGCTATATAAATGCTTGCTGCCATTATTATAATGCCAGATAATTTGGCAGGAGGCCAACTTGTACAAATCCTTACAAATTTCAAAAGACAATGTCCAGAAATACAGTTAGGTACTAAAATGAGTTATTCAGAAAGCCTTATGAGACAGTTTTTACACAACCAGTGGCAAAACTATCACAAAATAAAAATGCTTCAACTATAATCTTTAGAGAAACTTGTGGCACACTCTGAGCCATGAATTATATGAGCAGAAGAGGGCCTTGAGAACTTCATATGCTGTGACCAAAGAGGCAGATGTACGTGGCAAACTGATTCTTCTGGCACCACTCAGCTACAAATCTGCCCTGAAGTATGTATAGTTATGGAGCTTGCCCACAAAACTACTGGGATAGTAAAGGGTGAGGTAACGATGCTTTCAATATTGATTCTTTCTCTAATTTCATAAACACTGTATTTCTCCAAACATCTGATGAAGGACCAAAACAGAGGGCTATCGTTCACTACCCATAGTGAACTGGTCTTTCTGCCATTGGAACTCTCTGATATTGGCTCGGAAATCTCTGAGTTTGGAAAGTCTGAAAACGCAGGCCCTTCCACACTGGTGTTAAGGTACATTTCTACAAAGACTGTACTGCCTAAGTTCACCTGAGAGACAAACCTGAATTCAGTCTCTATCACCTTCCTTGGGAATGCTAAACCTCTATTTTCTCATGCATAAATGGGGATATTAGCACTTCCCTCATAGGTCAGTGGGGAAACTAAAGAGAAAATTATTGTGAAGCATGTAATATAGTGTCTGAAACATGGCAGTGTCCAATGTTTATATTATTATATAATCATCATCGTATATAACCTATTTTTATTTTTAAATCCCATCAAAATAACTTTTATAAAATTTACTACAATTTCACTTCAATTTATACAGTATCTTTTCTCTCTCTGTCCTCCAGGAGCCTCTAATCACTTTGTAGTCACTAATTACAATATTTTACAAGTTGAATAACTATCCTCACAGAACACTAAGCTAACAGAAGTGAAAAAAGAAAGCCTTATATTTCTATGAATTCATTACTTCTTACTCTTTTAGAAAAGGGTATCTTCTGGCTCTCTATAATATTTTGTATAACCAATAGAAGGGCAAGCCTACAACCAAAGC